>NC_000011.10:30817575-30969090 GCF_000001405.40 Homo sapiens
CATCACAGATGGTTCACAGCCCTGTCTCATTCCCACAAGCAGAGCCCAACCTTACCAGCCAGCAGAAGAAAACAGTGCTCTTTCTTGTATCACACGCCCTAAGGCCGTGAAAATGAATCATGCCTTTACATCAGTGTCCTACAATGCTTTCTGAAGGGGTCACTTCTTTACCTCTTTCTTAAGTCCATGGAGCTGCACTCTGTAGTAATTATCCACTTACATGCTCTACTATGAGTGAGAAGCAGAAGGAAGGTTCTTGTCCATCTTTGTATTCCCAGCCCTTAATACAGAACCTGAAACAAGATAGTCACACTCTAAATGTTGGTTGACCAATATGATGGCAACTGCTTACATCTGCACAGCAATTGAGTAATTCATTCATTTATTTGTTTATTCAAATATACATCCCCAGAGTACTCTAGTACTGGGATGACTACAGGGATTATGGCACATCCCTACCCTTGAGGGGCATGTAAAATCTTTCATTGAGACAATTTTAAAAGCAATTCCAACAGAGAGTACAAAGTGCTGTGATAATAAAAGTGCAGGGGTCTCTATGTGGGAGGACACAGAGAGGTACACAGCTCACTCTTAGGGACAAGGAAGTCTTCTCTGAGGAAGTCATAACTAATCTAAGACACAAAAGACTGGGAAGGAAAGGAAAGGAAAGGAAAGGAAAGGAAAGGAAAGGAAAGGAAAGGAAAGGAAAGGAAAGGAAAGGAAAGGAAAGGAAAAAGAAGAAGAAGGAGAAGCAGAAGCAGAAGAAGAAGAAAGAGGAGGAGGAGGTCTAGGAGAGGAAGGAAGGAAGGAAAGAAGGAAGGAAGGAAGAGAAGTAAGGAAAAGTGCATAGTGATTACTAGTAGCAAGATAGTAAAAAAGATATTACAGGTGTTACAGGTAAAGGTGGGAAGGCGAGAGTGCAACACATTCAGGAATTGCATGGCCTTCCATTTTCAAAAGGACTTTCATTCCCATGAGCTCATTTGACCCTCATAGTCACTTTCTGGGATAGACAGTGTTTTTCGAGGGGAGGGCTGAGTTAATTGTTATGTCTACTTTACAAGTGAGGAAAGAAAGACCCAGACTCTGAGAGTTTAAATAACTAGTTCAGGTCACACTTGCCAGGTTCTTCTGGCTCCAATCTCTGTGCTCACTCTACCATATCACAGTGAAAATCATTTAGGCCTTACTTGATTCCTGAGGTCTGTGATTTCTGAGTGATCTAATTCAGGGCTGCAGGTTGGCCCCTGGGCTTGAAGGGCATGCTGTCTCCACGCTGGGTATAGTGGTGACCTCGCTCAGCTCTGTGGCCTCTGGCCTTTGCCTAAGCACACAGATGCCCAGAGGCTTTAACTTCAAAGACATGCCAAGCCAACCCCTAGAGCCTTCAGCTCCCTGTGGCTTCTTCTGGAATCCACACTCTTTGTGCCAGAAACTCCAACTGCCAACTAAGGAACAACTTGCTCCTGAGCCTGTGCTAATGCACTCTCAGTAAAGGCCCTTGGGGAGCAAGGATTGACTGGGCAGATCACCTATGCTGAGCTGTCCCCTCAGCCCACCCCTAAATGGACACCAAATTGCACCAAAGGCACAGTCCTTCTGGGACAGGGATGGTCACCTGAATTTCAGTACTTCTTCCTCTCTCACCTTATGCATTCAGCCAGCCCCTACATCCAGAGAACTTGCCTCTGAAATTCCTGTAGAGTCTATAACCTGCCATTCATAACTGCCATGTGTTCAAAGCATGCCCAACCAATTCCATTCACTACATGGCAGACACTGTTCTAATTGCTCTATGTAGATTAACTTGTTTAATTTTCACAACAACCCTATAAAGTAGGTAATATTACTATTCTCATTTTACTGACCAGAAAACTGTATCAGAGAAAGGTTAGGCAATCTTCCAAAAATTGAACAGCTTAATGCATGAAACACTTGGGTTATGAAGCCAAGCGGCCTGACTCCAAAAGACACATCTTTAACAGCTAGGTTATATGTCATGTCATAGATGGAGCAGCTGAAAGAAGGGGAGATGGAGCTTGCAGATGGACTCTCATATACCTCCTTGCGTGCTCTCACACCATCACCTCTGCCTATAATGCCCTTCCTCGCTCTATCATCTTTCCATTCTCTTTGTCCTGTTGACAAAACTAAATTCAACTCATTTATATGGCAACAAGTAAGTGTACTCTCCCTGTTGGGAGACTTCTTCTACTTCCCAACAGACACCAAATCAGGCTGAATTCATTACTCCTTAATCAGTGTCCCCATAGCTATATAGTAATGATGTCATTATGAGCCTGACCCCTCATACCCCCAAAAGCCATTATTTTCTTTGAGAGTAAGGGCTCCTTCATTTTGTACCCCTTCTACAGAGCACAAAGCCTGGCATATGCTGAGAACCTCACAAATGTTGAGTTGATCAAACAGAAACATGCAAAAGCTGCCAGGAAAAGAGGGTTTACATTTGTACCTCGACCAAAGCAGTGAGAAAAGCAGCAGATGAAAGCTGCCCCAAGCCATAATTAACTTAATAGAAGTAAAATCTAAAGGTAGAGTAAGCCAGCAGGAGGTGCTGAGTCCCTCATCACTGACAGTCTTCAAGTAGGTCTAGGCGGTGCATAAAGAAGAGGTTATGAAGGGGATTACAGGTTTAGCTGGGAGCTAGATAAGGTTCTGAATAGAGACTGTGATTTCCACTGCCAAGGTCCCAGGAGGCTTGCCTGGACTAGCACAATAGTCTCCTAACTAGTCTCACTGCCAAATCTGTTTCCATGCTAATGCCAATTCACACACACACACGTGCACACACATACACACACACTCATAAACACACACACATACACACGTGCCTGACACTTTCACTTTTTTATGAAAAACCACCTAAGCTCCCTCTTGCCCATAGCAGGTGTTCTCAAAACTGTTCTGTTTGGTCTTCTCTATAGTGTAACTTAGTGGCTTCCCTGTGGAGTAGGAAGATGGGGCTGGGAAGACTCAACCAAAAGGTTGCTCTAAACCCTTCCCTGTGTGACCACAAAAGTAACCTTATGTCTTGTATCTATGTTAAATATTGGGACTCTATGGGAAATTTTAGTTAGGAAAAAAAAGAGCTTTGCTAATTGAAAAAAAGTCTCAAAACCCCTGGCCTCTTGCATGAATCCAAATTACTGGGCACTGAAAACCCCACCTCTGCAGCCTGACATAGCCTTTCTTGGCTCTACACTCTCTGTGCCATGTTGGGTTTCTTACTTTTGCCCCAAAATGCTCCTAAGGTTCACATGAAACCTGTGTTTCTGGATATGTTGGAGTTGGCAGGGATCCCTCCATCAATCATTTTCTTGTTTGGTGAAATATTCTTTTCTTTAAGGCCTCCATTCATTTCTCATGTCCCCTGTGAAGGCTCCTACATGATTTGCACTGATGTGGGTACTTAGCACAGGTTTAGCATGTGCTGACTTAGGCATCATTCCCCTGAAACCATGGGCTCTTCGTACCTCCAGTGCCGCTCACATCTTATGACACATAGTAGGGGCTTAATAAATGCTTATTAAGTTGACGACTATGCCAGAAAAAGGGTGAGGGATTACACAAAGTTATAAGAAAATCTCAGGGTAACTCTTCAGAAGCAAAAATAAAATAATAACATTTAATAAAAGTGCCTGCTCAAGGCCTGCAGCCCAATTCCAGTTTTGCTCCAAATGTTGATGGCCTTGAGCTTTCTTGTGTGAAATTCAGGACAGGCTCCATAGGAGAGAACAGATGACGAGTAGGATTTGAGGAGCAGTTTTAGGTGGGGCTGTTTTCCAGAGCCTGCAATACTCTATTCCTGCATGTTTGTACCCTAACCTAAATCATACATTATCCTGGCTTTGTGCAGAATTAAAGGAGGTGAGAAAATATGTAGCCCTACGAGTAAAGGGAGAATGCCAGGGAAATGATAAAAGATTCCAACCTGAGCCTCTTCCAACTCAGTGAGGCTCAGGTTGGAATCTTTGGAAACACAGTACCCAAGTGTTGCCATGCCTGGAGCAAAGGCGTTGGTGCCAATTCTCACCAGGTGAAAAATACCCACAGATCACAAGAAGAAAATGATGTCAGTTCTTCCAACTCTTCCAAGAATAAACTGGGCCCTTGGGCTGTATTTACTCTGTGAAACATGTATTTGTCTGAAGTCAGTACATATTAGGAAAAGTGTGGGATTACCCAGAAAAGCTTAATTTCATTTCCGCTCAGGAAGAATGCTTTCATTGTGAAAATTCAACAGGCAGTAAAGGAATTGTGAGAGTGTGTGTGTTTGTAGAGGTCAAGGAGAAAGTTTTGGCTGCATCTTTCCCAAATTGTTTTGTGACATCCAAATTTCTAGCAGCTAATATTTTAAAGTTATAGCATCAAGATTTCTAAGAGTTATTAATACCAGGAACTTTAATTTACAAAGGCCAAATCTCAAGCAACTCAAAAGATCTCACCTTCCCCCACAGTGGTTCAAAGACAAGACTAATGAGAGGAATTTTGATCCATTCAAGGCTGTAGTAGCCAGCCTCCAATACGGTGCCACATGATCCCTGTCTTCTGTTATTTCATCCCTTCAAGTAGTACCCTCCCACAGTGAATCAGGGTTGATCTGTGTGACAAAGAACAGTTTAGTATCCTCCACACTGGATTAGGACTTTCAGGAGTTATGTTATCAGAGGCATTGCAACTTCTAGACTAGGTGGATCCAGTCACCATGCTGCAAGTCACTGATGAACACTGTGGAGAGACCCATGTGGAGAGGAACTGAGGACTGTCATCAACAGGCAGCACCAACTTGCCAGCCATGGGAGTGCACCATCTTGGAAGCAAATCCTCCAGCCCCAGTCAAGGCTTCAGATGACTGCAGCCCTGGCTTACTTCTGACTCAGTCTCATGTGAGACTCCACCAAGAACTGCCCAGACAAGTAGCTGCCAAATTCCTGGCCACAGAACTGTGAAAATTAATTAATGTTTATTGTTAAGCCACTGAGTTTGGGGGGTAATTGGTTTCACAGCAATCAATAATACACAAGGCATTAAGTTATTCATTCATTTGTTGACTAAATATTTTTTTCAATATCTGCTCTGTACCAGGAGCCTGACTGATCCTACCATGAACTCTAATAAAGGGAGAATAAGAGAAGAGAAACAGAGCTTGTGACAACAGGTTACATATTGCCTTTTCTTGCAAACTGACTGGTCCTTAGGTTCACCCTGGACAGAGACTTGAAGTTTGATTTCACCAGCAACTGAATTTACTCCTTGGGTACCTGTATTAGCTACAAGTGACAGATACTCAATCACTGTTTTGTTTTTTTTTTAAAGGGATTATCAGCTTATGTAAGTAAACAATACAGGTACTGCTTAAGTGATTTATATGTCTTACTTCATGTAATTCCCAAACTTCATAAAGGAAGTACTCACATGATCCCCACTTCACAGAATGGGAAAACTGGGGCACAGAGAAGTAAAATAATGGTTGAATTTAGGTGCTCAAATGATCATCCATAACCTCTTTCTCCAGCTCTTGGCTCTGTTTTTTCTTATTGGTTTCAGATGCAGACAGGTTTTCCCTAAGTGGTGGTAGGCAAGGCCCCCAGCAGCTCAAACTTACCAGCTTAGTACTCCCCAGAGAGAAAGTACATCTCCTTCCCAGTGGTTCCTGAAAATGTCCCTGGACTGGCACTCATTGGCTCTGATCATCCCAGTTTGCTCCCTGGCCTGCTGTGTCCTAGTTACAGCCAGACTTCTGTCACATGTCCACCCAGGAGTGAGGTGATGGGGTAACTCCACCTGAACTTCACATACTCAGAGCAAGGGAGGGGTAGCTTTCCTAAAGGAAAATCCATATCTCATTGCCAAGATAAAGGAAGTTGAATGCTGTTGGCAGGCAAAAATAACTGATGTTCACCAGAGCGCCCTTCTCACTTTGTTGACTGGAGTAGAGGGTGCTAGTGGGAGAGGGTAGGAAAGAAAACTAGTAAAGTCATTTTGGATCAGATGAAGCCTTCTGTTTATTCCTTCATTCCCTAAATGTTTATAAATAAGCTTTTGCTAAGCCTTAGGGGTCAATGCAATGGTGTGCTGGAGGTGGGTTTCATTGACTTGTGAGAGCCAATTATTAACGTTTCAGAAATTTTGCAGGATAGTATCAAACATAGCCATTTTCAGATTTATATGGGCCAGGAGCCTGTAATTCCAGCACTTTGGGAGGCTGAGGCTGGTAAGATTGTTTGAGCTTAGGAGTTCCAAACCAGCCTGGACAACATAAGACAATCAGGGATGAATTTATTTTTCTATTGATTATCTAGACTCAAGAAAGTGATGGAGAAAGTTAATGATGCAAATGTATCCATAACCATTACATTGTAAATGGCACAAAATATTGAACAAATATTCCTCCAGTATTTGCAAATGTCTGATTTAGCAAAGATGACTCACATCTTTGATGATAAGTGAAGTTTCAGTGTTTCCCCTTTATATTATGTGCTGAAAGAAAATATCAACTGACACGTTGGAACTATACTTGTTCATCAGTTGCAACTATAGATTAGCAACAGACACAGGAGTTTGGCAAGAATTAACAAAAGCATTCTATAAGAATCAATTGGCTAAAGGAAGTTTACAAGAGTATTGTACTTTTTTATTATTTGTAAAGAGTGTGCTAAACATCTGTTATATCAATAAACTTTTTATAATTAAATAATGTATACATATACATGCATAAATTCCCTGCCCCTCCTCCTCCAGGGCACAAGTTATTCAGCATTTACCGGGGTGTTACTTTATAAAAGAGTAAATATGCAGTATTATATCAAGCTAAAAATTTTAGACTATTTTGTAGTCAATGGAAGCCATTGGGGTTTTTTGAGCAGAGGCATGGCAAAATTAGATTAGCATTTTAGAAAGTTCACTCTAGCAGTGATATGGAGGATAGACTGAAGATAAAGTAGTTACGGAGGTCTCTTAGAAAGTCTATTCAAATTCAAATGCAATTAATAATATCCTTCAGCTAAGTGCTAGACTTTATGCTAAGAAATTTCATACCCTATTTATTTTACTCCTTATAGCAGCTCTATTGAGGTAGAGATCATCATGACAAAGGCAATGAGACTAGATATAAAGGTACAGATTTAAGAAGAAAACAGACTGACTAAGCAATGCTGAGTGTAGCCTAGGTGTAGACTTATTTAGCTGTCTGGCAACCAGTCTCTAGTGAACGACAACACTAGTGTCTTTTGAAAAGTCACCCCTCCCATTGCACCTATCTGCCTTGGCCACCCAAGGAAAAACCACATCACCCAAACTAAGCCAAACAGCCTGCCTTTCCTTGTAAGAAAATTAAAGAATGGGAAAATGGGTGGAGGGCATGTATTCCAGAGAAAGTACTTAGCATAGCTGGCTAAATCATTAGCTCTGCCTGCACCCAGAACAGCACTGGTTTCTGTCCTCTTTCTAAACCTAGTTTCCAGCCTCCAATAAATAATCTTTTTACTGAAGTTTTCCAGAATTGGCTTCTATTGTTTGCAACCAGAAAAACTCCCACCACTACTGTGCCTAATTAGAAGAAAAGGCACAGGACTGGGTGATGTTTAAGGCTTAATGTTTAAGAAAGAAGACAGTAAATAGTCCCAATTTTGTAATGCCACTGACACAAGTGATTACAATTTGTTCTGTAGGTCTCTTTTGCTCTGAAGAACAATCTCCGTTTTAACATTTGTGTACGATGGGTTTCCTGAGCTCACATAAAAGGGAACCTCGGCTCCTTTATTTCTATCAGTTTCCCCACCAGCTGCACTGAGGTGCATATTAATGATGGCTTGGCAGACCCTGGTCTGTGAGGCTGAGAAGCATGAAAGACACACCTATGTGTGTGTGATCTGTGCTATCAAAGGCCACAGGAACATCAGTGGGAAGGAAAATTGACACAGTGACAGAATCCGCCCCTTATCAAACAGAAGGTCTTGACAAGTCCTCATTAGAGAGGTCTCTGTGTTTTGGACTGATTGAAATGTCTCAGTCTGCAAGGATCCTGAAGCAAAGGTCAAAGTGGCCTTGCAATTGGGCCTTCTAGCTTCTCTTTCTGTGGAGGGGATGAAGAGAGCCCTTAAAATCAGTCAGGACCAGACCCTGGGCTAGCAGGAGTGCTTAATCAGCTGCCCTAGGTCTCAGACAAGAAAATTCTGACTGTTACCAAGGAGGTATTAATGACGGATACCATAAAAGGCAGTGACCTCATAGCTCTCAACTTCTCTGTCAAACCCCTAGTTGGCAACAGATCAAGGAGGCAGGTTGCCACACTGATCACATCTGGCTGCGTCTATAAGAAAGATCAAAGTGGCAGGCCTGTAAGTCTGAGAGAGGCCCACTTGCCAGTTTCCATCTCAGCAGCCCACTGCCTGGCACCTGGAGGAGGCTCCACAAGGGTTTGTGGGTAAAAGGCGAGCAGTGGAAGAAGGAAAGGATCTGCTGCTGCTGCTCTGAGTCTGGGGGGGATTCTCTTTCTCATCATTGCAACTCCTGGGGCTTTGGTCCAGATGGGAGGAATTGCCTCCTGTTCCACTCCTGCCTCCTCACTCCCCAAATCCTGAGTAAGATTCAGATTCTTATGAAGGCAGATGGAGGCCTGGGACTCTTCTGACAACACTTCTTTTTATTCATCCTGGAGACCACTCGGAAGATAAGCATAGAAGAGCTCCAGCCTGGAACCCCTGCCTTAGCTATTCCAGCTTTGCCTGTAACAGAAGTTGCATCAGGCTTTAGTCTTTTCATTTGTTGAAAGGAAGCATGAGCCTAATTATTCTAAAGGGTCCTGTCCAACAGTAATCTTCCATGTGTTGGGCTAACAGAATCGCGTCTGTCACTGCTGAGTGTATCTTTACTTAAAACACAGATTCCCCAAATAGGGTTGCATGCCTTCTCTTCTTGACAACGGCCTTTCATGTTGTTACCATTATAACCTTCCACTGACATTATCAAAGTCCAGAAAGCAAAAGCCTGATGCCAGAGATAACAAGGCAAAAGAACCCACCCAACAAGGCCCGAGTCACGGTCATGCACTGACAGCCACCCCAGCCACCGAGGCCAGGAATACAGTCTCTCAGTTAAGCCATTTCCTGGAGCGAAAACCAGCATTTTTCCACAGAGCCAACCATTCAAAGCTGCCCTCTCTGCCCTTTCAAATTTAATTTGTTTCAAATCTTGTAGGAGCTACAGAATTATTTCAGGATTGGAGTCAAGTGAAAACAGGTGTGCCACTCTTTCATCCGCCCCCCCCCCCTTCAAAGGGGCCTGATTAGCCACCAGATTAATCGAGCTGGCCAATGGGGAGAGCGAAGCCCTGCAGCTTGCCTGAGCACCAGTCACTGGGATGCTGACCCAGAGTCTGGGGGTCCCAGTATAGGACCCCTGACCTGGTTAAACTTCTCATGCCCTACCCAAGTGCCCATGCAGTGACAGGACTTGGCTATGACCTCATCCGCCCTGTGCCAATATCTTTCTCTGCCCTTGTGCAGGCCATTCTGGCCTTGAAAGCCAAGGCATGGTGATCCTGCCTTCCAAGATAAACCAGAGTTCTGCTCTTGGCTATCCCAGCATTTGCTTTGGCAGTTCCATTTAGGCTGACCTTCGTGATGTGTCAATATTTGGGGGGCTATGCATGGAAAACATTTGCAAAGTTTAAAATGAAATAGAAAAGTCGTATTCAAAGACAAAAGTTGGAGTTCAGCAAAAAGTCAAACCAAAGGGAAAAATTATTTTCACTGTGCAATCCCTGGAAGGGGAGCTGTTAGCACTCAGGGCCACTGTAAAGGGACATTTTTGCCCCAGATCCTGCTGGAGAGGACTGCAGGGCTCACACCTGGGATGGCTTTTCTCTTCTATCTGTACAAACCCCTTTGGTTTCTTCATTTCTTCTCATGGCTAAATACCATCTTGATACTGACAACTCCCAGGCTTAAATCTCCAACTCATGCCCCTCTCTCTTGAACTTCAGGCTTATATATTAATTATTGATTTGTTATCCCTTCTCAGCATCTAAAATATGCAAAACCATTCCATCCTAAATCTTGCTTTCCCTCAGTCTTCTCTGTGGCAGCACTGTCCTTTCCTTTGTTCAGGCCCAAAACCCTGGAGTCATCCTTGCCTCCTCTCTTTCCACACCCCACATGCAGTATCAGGGCATCTCATCTGTTCTACCTGCAGAACATGTCTCAAGTCCAACCACTTCTCACCATTTCCATCACTATCACCCTGCTACAAATCACCACAATTTTCCGCCTAAAAAAAATGTAGTAGGCTCCTAGCTAGTCATCCTACTCCCACCCCACCCCTCTACCCTGACCCTGGTTGCAAAGAGAATGAAAGTTATTCTTTTAAGATACAGTTAGGTTGTATCACCATCTGCTCAAAACCTTCCAGTAGTTTTCTGTCTCATTAACAATAAAAGCCAAAGTCACCACAAGGGCCTTAAAGATCCTCCAATATCAGTTCCCTGTCCCACTTCCCACCAGTTAACCCCTGACCTCATCACCTGCTGTCTTCTCCTCACTCACTCTGCTCCAGCCACACTGGCCTTCCTGATGATCCTCAAGTTCAGCAACCATGCTCCCACCTCAGGACTTTGCTCCTGCTGTTCCCTCTATGTGCTGTTCCCCTTCCCCCAGGTATCTCTGTCTGCTTTGCTTCCTCAACTGCTTTAGCTCACTGCCAAGATTTGCTTTAACAGAGGCAGCATCTCCAACCACTACATAAAATAGTAATGGTCACACCTTCCTCTGCATCATAGCCCTCACTATGTTCCTCATCCTGTTTTATATTTTTATGTGACAATTATCTCCATCAGACTTATTATAGACACATGTATTTGTTTATTTTCTGTATCCCCCAACTACAGAATAAATTCCAGGGGGTTGAAACCTCATGTTGTTCACTGCTGTATCCCCAGAACCTAGACCAATGCCTCGTACCTGGTAGACATGAATATGTAATTTTTAAGATAATTAATACCCAGCAGCCTTCAAGTCTTCTGGCACCCTCAACTTTTCTTCGCATGATCACTCCAGGTTTAAGAGTGGAGCATGAGTCTCGGTGCTGATCAATTATAACACTTCGTGCCCCCCTCCACCACATACACACACACATGCAAAGGAATTGGATCAGGGAGGATCACATAACTCACTTGGATCCAGTGAGACGCAAAGACATTTTCTCTGGCTTCTGCGAAAAGAATATTGCTCCTTCCCATTTAATTTAACATAGAAGGGACTGGATCTGCTATAGCCATTTGGACACTTTGAGAAGAGTCCAGGCAGCATTGGAGATGAATTGATGGGAAGCAGTTACCAATCTTAAGGACTATATGATTCCATTGACCATGACCTACACATTTCACATAGAGAGACTTGAACTTCAGAGAGAAAATGAGGAAAAATAAATGAAGAAGCGCTTGTCCTTGCCCTTGTCCTCTTGCTGAGCCTTCCCACTTCCACCATTTAGAACTGTGATGACGCTTCAAGGTAGAGCAGGGATGGTAAACAGGTCATGTGCCATATCCGACTCTAACTGACAAGTTAGAATCTTGTACTAACTGGAGCTTAATACTGAGAAAGATTTAGAAACTGTGAACAGCTCAGCGGGGGAATGCACCATGATTGACTAGTAATGCCTGTTATAAGCACAAGACAGGGGAGGGATGTATTAATTTCTTTGTGCTTGGAAAAAGTATAAAATTGAGCTAATTTCAGGTACATGATATAAAATATATACATAATAGAGGATAGAGAAAAAAAAAGATGTGATTAGATGAGGAGGAAATCCAGTGATGGCTTCTGGAAGATGAACCAAGAATGGAAGCCAGGAAATGCAGACAGTCCACCAACTTTTTAATCTAGAGCAGAGGGGCCATGTCATAGAGAGGTTCAAGATAAGGCTGGAGATGTTCCACCAGGGACAGAATAATTGATGAGGGCCTTGAATGCTAGACTAAAAAAGGTGGATTGGATGCAGGCAGCAATAGGGAGTTTCTGTAGGGTTTGGAGCACATGAGGGTTGTAATAAGATAGATGTTTGAGGCAGATTATCCTGTCATTTGGATCCAGGATGAATTGAAGCCATGGGAATTGGTGGTAGGGAGGCTGGTTAGCATCCTGCAGCAATGAGTGCATTTCAAGGAAATGCACTCTGGAAAATGTCTTAAGCAGATCCGTCATGAATACGACCACAGACTCTTTAGCTGTGTCCAGACCTGTGCGGTGGACATGCTCAGAGAAGTCTCAGAACCTCCATAGCAGAGTTTTCAGAGTAAGGGACCTGGTCAGTTTTGGAAGGGTCTTTCCATTCAGTTCGCTGGACAGTGGCCAGGGCAAGGAGAGAGGCCATTCTGAAGCAGCTGTGAAAGCTTCTGTGTGAAAAGAATTGTGTGCCTTTTGTTGCTGTGGCACCACAAAGTCAGCTCACTGGGGTCTCCTGAAGTTTCCACTAAATCATACGTAGGAAGAGATGATTTGTTAATCACTAAACTTAACTCACATAAATGTAGGCTATATACTTAGGTTAGCCATAGTAATGGCAAGGGGTACAAGTGCAAATGTTAGCAGGGTCCAGGTTGGTAAAATAACAAAGCAAAGCAAGCTGGACTCTGGCGTACCAGGAGGCCACATTCTGAAAAAACAGTAGCCGCTCAGCTCTAACTGGTGGTTTCCATCAACTCATGTAGACTAAATACTTCAGTTTTTACATGAGAAGTCTTATATCTAGTGTTTCATGTGAAATTCCCTCATTCTTAAATGTTCAGAGCTATTTTAATTTTATTTTAACTGCTGATTTCTCTATTCAGATCTCTCGACTCAGAAGCTACAGATGTGGGTTTAGTCCCTATTATTGGATGTAGCACTTGATTCGAGGGAGGCAGATGAGGAGCTTCGTAGCAGGCAGCCTGGGATGAAATCTCAGCCAGCCCACTTTTCCTCTCGGTAACTGTGACCCAGGGACTCAGCACTGCCCAGCTTCCATTTCATTAGCTGTCAAATCGAGAAAATAACAAAGTAATTAAGCATTTGCCAAATGCCAGGCACTGTCTTGATTTTTTGCATTCTAACAATGACCCTATGAGGTAGTTGCTATTATATGTTCTCCATTTTTCAGATGAGAAAACAGAGATGCAGAAAGTTTTAAGTACTCCTTCAAAGGACTGCAATAATAATAGATGTGAGGCAGTTGTGGTGGTTGCAAAGCACATTCTAAGCATTAGTTGTTATTGTCATTATTGAGTATGACTCAGAGAAAAGGTGTTTTTTAAAATCACAGCTGTTGGCAGCTGTTTCTGCCCGGGGGAGTGGAAACTTTTTTCTTGACATGGCTCTGCATTTTGAAAAATGCCTGGAGAGTCCTCTTAGAGTCTAATGCTGAAGCTTCTAAAGGATTGGCCCAAATGATGCATCTGGGCAAATTGTGATGTTGAATTGTTCTTCAAAACAGTGGGAGGATTTGGAGGGTCTGGGGATCCTGAGCAGAGGGAATGAGGGAGCTGAGAAGGAGGAGGGAGGAGGAAGGGGTAAGGAGGACGTTGAAGGGGAATAGCTCAAGCACCATGGTGAGAGCCTGGAAGGACTGGAGAAGGAGATGGTCAGTGAGTGATCTTGTGCTTTGCAGGACTGGAGGAGACATTGCAATTATTGACAAATCAGGCTACATGCACTCACCTCTATTGCTGCTGAGCCTTCAGTACAATCCTTCCACTTACAAAGGCTGCTTCAGGAAAGCAGAGATAAAAGGGCTGTGTACCTTTGGGTAGAGGTGAGAAAGGGAGATAGTTAATACTTATAAAGCTTTTTCGCTGTGGCAGTCCTCTTCCAAGTGCTTTATGCTCATTTAATATCAAAAACAACCTCTGAGGAGATGTTCTATTAGCCCGTTTTTACAGATGAGGAAACTGAGGCAGAGTTACTCAGCTACAACTGACTCCAGATTCTGTGCTCTTAACTTCTATGTTATCCTGAAAGAAAGACACAGCTCCTGGAGAGGAGATCCTTGTGAAAGCAAGGATTCAAAGGAAAGAGATAGTAAGAACAAAAGTGACCAAAAAGACTATAACCCCCGGAGAATCCCTAGGAATATTGGGAGGCTCAGGGAGGAGGTTACTTGTTGCTGGTTTTTCCACTATCCTGCTCGGTGGGGACTTGAACCATTTTTACTTAAACATTAAAACAAGATGATCCACCTTCAACTGATCTTTGGGTGACACTGTTTATTTTCAAGATTCAAATAGGATATCCAAGTAACTAAGGCCTGTCATTCTAAGTCAATTCAGACATGAACCTTATCCTTGACCTGTGCAGATGAGTGATTAGTATACCCAGGTAGTATGTCCCACTTGTGTTAGCTGCTTCCCCAAGTGTGGGGAGAAGGTGATAACACCTCAGAAGCCTCCTGGGCATCGGAGTAAACTTAACTGAGAATGTTCTGAGTGAGGAGGGGAAGAGATCATTTTGTTATGTAGAGGACTATCAATCACTTTCAAAGATACAACTAATACCTAGATCTAAAAAGAGAAAATGGTTGAGCAAATTCATCAGGGAGGCTTTGATTTTGTCTGATTATGGGCAGAAAAGAGACAAAACTGTTGCGTGTTTTGAACTCTGTTAATTTGTGTAACACATGTTCTACTTATGTTTTTAAAGAGATATAGATCCACATGGTGGCTACTTTTTTTTTCTTATTGATTTGTTAAGCACAAGCATTGAAATTACTTTTAACTCACAACAACGGAAAAATCTTTTAATGAAAATAGTATCCACCAAAGGTTAAAAAGTTAAGGTTTGTCACAGAGGAAAATGAGACCGGCATGATCAAAATGCAATGCATGTTGCCCTTAGAGAGATCTGGCAGTCCCCGGATCTGTTTTGTCTCTAATCTCTCTCTCTCTCTCTCTCTCTCTCTCTCATCTTTCTCTTTCTCTCTCTCTCTTTTTGCTAGTAATCTACTAAAGAAGTGTCAAAAACTTATATTTTACTGATGATTCATTATCAAGTTTGGCTCTGTCGAAACAGCCTCCTTCTTTCTCTAATGCTGTTTTTGTTTCCCAGAATGGAAGCTGAAGGGAAAAATGGCACATGAATTATGACTTCTTTGAGATGCCCCCATCCAGTACATCAAGGGTTACTTCCCAAATTCCATTTTCTCTTATCAGGAATGTGTTACTGTTTGCACTTACACACTTTGCATCTGTATTTTCTGTCTTGGAAATTGCACATGTGAAGCAACTACAAGCGGTGACTGAGCTGAGGGATTGGCATATGTAGTAAGCATTTACAAAGAGAATCAGATCATGTGACCTCAAAAAGATGAGCTTCTTTTAGGTGGGATTTTGTTAGACCAATTGTGGTGAGCTCAAGTAGAGCCAAAAGGGAGGAAAGAGACTCAAAGTGAGAAAAGGGCACTTATGGAAGCTCAGAATTAAACAAAGAAGTCTTTTTGAGTATTAAGAAATAAAAACAATGGATCCAGAGCCATGGAATGGTGCCCAGGGCCCCCAAAAGCTCATTTGCTTTTAAGATTGTTTAGGCTTTAATTAGTGAAGCCTTGCCCAGAAGGATTAAAAATCTTGAACTTTGAAAAAGAACAATTTGCAAGGCCAAATGGGAAGAAGGCTGAGTGGATACAGATGGCAGTATAGAACTCACAGCTTGTTTAGTCAAGGATTAGAACTCTGAGCTCTGAGGTGGGGCTGGTAGTTTTATTTACAAGAAAAGTTCAGACCACTTTATTCTGCTTTAGGCATGAGATAAAACCTATCATGAAGAAACTTACAGAAATGATGTCCCTCTGTTTGTCGTTTTAATCTTTCTACATTTATCAAGCATCAATAGCTCACATTTTCCCCTACTTTCAATGCTCCAAAGCATATTGAATTCTTTACAATCCCTCCAAAGCCCAAACTATTTTATGTGTCTAAACCCTCCGCATAAAAATATTTTTTTCTACCTCTACCTGTAAACTCCCATGAATCCTTTAGAAACATATCCACTCATATCCTCTTCTCTGAAGATCTGTCTGAATCTTGCAGGCAGTGGATCATGTTCTCCTTTTTGTCATCTACTTAAATGCACCTGTGCAGTTGCACTTATCACTTTGTGTTGCATTTATTTGGTAACATGTAGAATATATGCAAAAGAATGCATATGGAATATATGTACATTTTAAGTACAATAATTTTAAAACACCTATGTACCAACCAAACAGCTTAAGTTATTGCCAATAACTTAAAATTCCTGCATGACTCACCCATCCCTCTGCCTACTTGCTCTGAAGTGGAAACTGCTGAAGAAATTTTATGTTTATTCTAACCTCGTTTTTCTTTCTAATTTTACCACATATATTCGTGTTCCTAAACAATGTAGTGTTTTGAGTTGCCTATTTGGAACCTAATAATGTGATATTAGGATTCATCTATATGGATGATTGAATCATGCTTTCTTAATGGGGGTGATACCGCCCTCAAGGGTTAAAATTTGATTCATAATGTGTACAGCAAAGTTATATATATGATCTATATCTTAGTCTTAATGTATACAGCAAAGTTGTATATATGATCTATAAATATGCAGTTTGTCTGTGGCATTAAAATTTCACCCAGGGTTGTTCAGAAAAAATACCTAAAAAGACTTCATAGGGATATGATATAAAAAAAAAAGATTGGGAAACACAAGTATGGGTCATATATTTTTATTGCTGTATAATATCTCATCAGATGACTAAACCACAATTCATCTATCTATTTTAATGATTATGGATATATGGGTTGTTTCAAATTATTTTTATTATTAAAATGGTGTTGTGCTCATAAACTTGATAGCCTAGATGAAATGAACCAATTGCTTAAAAAACACAATCTACCAAAACAAACACAAAAATATATAAGTAATCTGAATAGGTCTACATTTGTTAAAGAAATTAAATCAAACATTAACAACTTTCCAAGACAGAAAGCACCAGTCCTAGATGGGTTCACTGGTACATTCTACCAAATATTTAAGGAAGAAATTGTACCAATTCTCTACAACCTATTTCAGAAGATAAAAACAGAGGGCATACTCCCTAATACTCTATGAGGCAAACGTAACCCCAATACCAAAACCAGACAAAGATACTACAAGGAAAGAAAACCATAGACCAATATCACTCATAAACATAGATGTAAAATTCCTCACAAAATATTAGCAAATCAACTACAATAATGTATACAAAGATTTATCCACCACAACCAAGTAGAATTTATCCCAAGTATGCAAGGCTGGTTCAACGTTCAAAATTCCATTATTGTAATACATAACATCAACAGTCTAAAGAAGAAAAATCACATGGTCTTATCAATGGACACAGAAAATTATTTGACAAAACCCAACATCCACTCATAATAAAAACTTAATCAGCAAATTAGAAATAGATGGGAACTGCCTACATTTGATAAAGACCAACTACAAAAATTTACAGCTAAAATCATACTTAATGGTGAAAACCTCAGAACTTATCTGCTACGATCAGGAACAAAGCAAGGATGTCCCTTCTCATCACTGCTTTTCACCATTGTACTAGAAGACCCAGCTAATGCAATAAGACAAGAAAATGAAATAAAAAGTATACAGATTTGGAAAGAAGAAATAAAACTTCCTTTGTTCACAGATGACATGACAGCCTTTGTAGAAAATCTGAACTGATTTTTAAACATTATAAAACTAAGTGATTATATGATTTTCTAGAACTATAAATGCAGCATACAAAGTTAATATATAAAAGTCAACTGCTTTCCTATATGCCAGAAATGAACAAGAAAATTTGAAATTAAATCACATGACCATTTATATCAGCACCCCCCAAAATGAAATATTTAAGTAACATCTAACAAAATATGGACAAGATCTATATGAGGAAAACTACAAAACTCTGATGAAAGAAATAAAAGAAGAATGAAATGAATGGAAAGATAGTTTGTCTCCATGGATAGGAAGACTCAATAGTGTAAAGATTCAGTTCTTCCCAAGTTTATCTGTACATCTTATTTATATAACTCAGCAAGTTATTTTGTGGATATCAACATACTGATTGTCCAAAGTTTATGGTCAAAGGGCCAGAATAGTCAACTCAATATTGAAGACCAAAGTTTATGGTCAAAGGGCCAGAATAGTCAACTCAATATTGAAGAACAAAGTTTAGAGAACTGACATTACCTGCCTTCAAGATTTGATATAAAGCTACAGTAATCAAGACAGTGTAATATTAGCAAAAGAATACACAGATAGATCGATAGAACAGAATAGAGAGCCCAGACATAGACCCACATAAATATAGTCAACTGATTTTTGACAAGGAGCAAAGGTAATACAATAAAGCAAAGATAGCCTTTTCAACAAATGGTGCTACAACAACTGAATTTCCATATGCAAAAAAAAATCCTAGACATAGACTTTACACCATTCACAAAAATTAACTCAAAATAGGTCATAGATCTAAATGTAAAACTAAAAACCATAGAACTTCCAGAGGATAACTTAAGAGAAAATCTAGATGACCTTGGATATGGCAATAATTTTTTAGATATAAAACCAAAGTCATGATCCATGAAAAAAAACTAAGCTGTGCTTTATTAACATTAAAAGCTTCCACTCTGCAAAAGAAAATGTCATAATTAATTAGATGACAGCCTGGGAGAAAATATTTGCAAAAAGATACATCTGATAAAGAACTGTTATCCAAAAAATCTACAAAGAACCCATAAAATCAAAAGATAATGAACGACTTGATGTTATAAATGGGCAAAATACATGAACAGATATCTCACCAAAGAAGATACACAGGTAACCAAGAAGCATATGAAAAGATGTTCAATATCATATGGCATTAGGGAATTGAGAATGAAAACAACAATGCAATTCCACTACACACCTATTAGAATGGCCAAAATCTAGAGTATTGACAACACCAAATGCTGGCAAGAATGTGAAGCAACAGGAACCCTCATTTATTGCTGGTGGGAATACAAAATGATACAGGCATATGGAAGATGATTTTGCAGTTTCTTACAAAACTAAGATATTCTTATCATCTGATCCAATAGTCATGCTGTTTGGTATTTACCCAAATGAGTTGAAAACTTATGTTCATAGAAAAACCAGCACTAGGATGTTTATAGTGGCTTTATTCACAATTGCCAAAACTTGAAAGCAACCAAGATGTCCTTCAGTAGGTGAATGGATAAGTAAACTGTGGCACATCCGGACAATGAATATTATTCAGCACTGAAAAGGAATGAGCCATCAAGCCATGAAAAGACATAGAAGAAGCTCATATGCATATGTAAGTGAAAGACGCCATCTGGAAAGGCTACATATGGTATGATTTTAACTATATGTAATTCTGGAAAAGGCAAAACTATGAAGACAGTAAAGAGATCAGTGGCTGATGTGTGTTTGAGGGGAGGATGGATCAATAGGGAGAGCACAGAGGATTTTTCAGGCAGTGAAGCTACTCTATATGATATTAAAATGGTGGATACATACCATTACAGATTTCTCAAAATGCAGAGAATGTACAACATCAAGAGTGAACCCTAATGTAAACCATGGACTTTGGGTGACAATGATGTGTCAATGTAGGTTTATTGATGATAACAAATGTTCCCCTGGGGTGCAGGACATTAACAGTGGAAAAGCTGTGCCTGTGTGGGATCAGGGAGTATATGAAAACTCCATACCTTCTGCTCAGTTTTGCTCTCAACATAAAACTGCTCTAAAAATAAAGTATATTTACGAAAATGTTGCATGGACATTCTTGTACACAGCTACTGGTGCATATGTGCATCAGTTAATTTAGGGAATGCCTAGAAAATGAATTGATTGGTTGTATGGCATATGCATATCCAAATGTACTGGGTTATTCACAAAAATTGTTTCAATTTACATTCCCAACAACAGTGCATAAATCCTCTTTACTGCACCTCCTCACCAATGTTTGGGATTGTCATGTGTGAAAATTTGTCATTCTTGTGGTTGTCAACAACAAAAAAACATGTTTGGGATTTAGTCTATTATTAATAAAGTAGAGCATCTTCTCATGTTTATGCCAGTGCAAGTTTCTTCCTCTGTAAAGTACTTATTTATTTATTTTGTCATTTTTGGTAGGGTTGTTTGTTTTATTGATGGGTAGGAATTATTTATGTTCTGAATATTGTTCCTTTGTTGCTAATATATGTTATAAATGCTATTTCCAGTATATGTCCTTTTTTCATTCTATTATGCTTTTTAGTGAACAAAATTTCTTAATTTTAATGCAGCTGAATTTACCCTTTTTTTATTTTTTATTAATATCTGCTTCTGTTTTTGACATTTTCTGTCCTCTACTTTTGTTGGGTTTAGACTGTTGTTCCTATTTAAAATTCTTTTTTTTTTTTTTTTTTGAGACAGAGTCTCGCTCTATCGCCCACCCTGGAGTGCAGTGGCGGGATCTCAGCTCACTGCAAGCTCCGCCTCCTGGGTTCACTCCATTCTCCTGCCTCAGCCTCCCGAGGAGCTGGGATTACAGACACCCACCACCACGCCCGGCTTTTTTTTTTGTATTTTTAGCAGAGGCGGGATTTCACCATGTTGGCCAGGATGGTCCAACATTCTTAATTTTAATCCTTCCTTTTTTTATATAGAAATTTATAAGGCATTAAATTTTCCTAAAATACTACTTTATTTTTTCTATTATTTTTCAGATACAAGTATTTTAAAATTTCTATTGGATTTCCTCTTTACTCAGGAGGTTTTTTTTTCTCCCAAATGTATGAGATTATTTTAAATGCCTCTTTGTTATTGATTTCTAACATATTGTGTTATTGTTAGGAATGTGGGCTGTATGATACCCTTTGAAATTTAGTAAGCCCTCTTTTATTGCGTAAAATGTGATCTGGGATCCATGTGTGCTTGAACAAAATATGTATTCTCTTGTTATTGGTGTGATGGCCTTTGTATGTCTACTACATAAAGTTTCTTAATTGTATTTTAGAAATCTATATTCTTATTCCTGGAGAGCATGAGCTATCACTTACTGAGAGAAATGTGCTAAATATATCCCATTTTAATAGTGATTTGTCTGTTTTCTTTGCAGTTTTATTAGTATTTGCTGCATATAACTTGGTAGATTATTAGGTACATACTATTTAGAATTTTGTTATATTTTCTTATATTGCATGATTGTATTATGTTATATGTTTATCTCATGCATGTTTTTTGTCTGAAAGTCCGTGCTGTCTAATGTTAACATAATTATACCATCTTTCTTTTTGCCAATATTTGTCTAGAGCATCAGTAGGGGTCGAATTAGAAAAACAGAAACCTCCTTAAATATCTAAACATAGAGAATTTAATTCAGGAAATGGGATACACAAATGATAGGCATTCAGAGAAACTCAACGGGGATGGTGAAGCAATGTAAAGATGAGCAACAGCAAGAAGTTGCTACCATGAAGCGGGTGGGGAAACAAAGGTGAGAGAAAGTGATAGTAGAGCCCAGGAGTCATGGTCACCCACATTACCTAGAACCACAGAGAAGCTGTAACAATGCAGGAAAGACCTCTGGAGCTGGAGACTCCCTGAAAGAGAGGAAACCCCTGGGCACGGTCTTCCACTGATAGTCCAAACTCAGCCTCCCATTGACGGAACTTAGACGGAAACCAGTTGACCTGGGGAAAGCAGCTATTGGGCATCAGCATCACTGAGATTTGCTCAGTAGGAGCCCCTTCACACTGGCTTCTATGTCCTTTTGACATGTCCCTAGTATTCTTTGAGCACTTTCTTACTTAATGGCACAAAAAAGATGTTTCAGGCTCATCTTGTTCTTTCCTTGCGGCCCTGCAGGAGACCCTCTCATCCAGCTCAGCTGGTCTTATGCAGGGCCGCCATCCTGAGCAGAGACTCCTCCATCACTTGGACTCTGGGACCTCTTGCTCCTCCAAAGTCTAAGGGGGAAACGGGGTCCAGGACCTTTTTTTTTTTTTTTTTTTTTTTGAGACAGAGTCTCGCTCTGTCACCCAGGCTGGAGTGCAGTGGTGCAATCTTGGCTCACTGCAGACTGCAGCCTCCAGGACCTTTTCAAACTTTCTGTATCCTGATGTTTCAGGTCTGGCCTGTGAACTGCATATAGTTGGAAGTCTGTTTTTATGTCCAGTCTAATTATCTTTATCTTTTAATTAGATAATTTGAATCTTTTTCAATGATTTTGATCCCTAACATATTTAGATTAAATTCTACCAACATATTTAGCACTTTCTATTTGTCTCTTTTTGTTTCTTTGCTTCTTGTTTTCTTCTTTTCTTGCCTTCTTTTGCATTGTTTTAGTTTTTCCTTCTTATTCCATTTTTTTTCTACTAGCTTTGATGTTACACACTCGATCTCTATCCTTTTAAGGATTAACCTCAAATTTTCAACATGCATTTTAGTTTAACAAGCTTTAAAAATAAAGCTCTACCTTTTCTACTTATTTTCCCATTTTTCCCTCTGTTTCTCTCTTCTTTCCTCCTCTTCTCTCCCTGCTTCTTCCCTTTTTTCCTTCCCTTCCTTTTCCTTTCATTCCTTTCCCTTCCCGAACAATTTACTCCTAAATCCATTAGGTGGACCCAGGAAGCTTGGAATCCCCATCAGAGTGAAGGTGGCAGAGCACAACTGGGGTGAAGAAGGTATCTACATGGAGTGAGCAGGGCAGCCCCACTTGGCGTGGAGTGTTAGAGCTGTGTTTGGGGATGAGGTTGTCTATGCAGGAGGGTTGCCCGGGCATGATGTTGGAGCCTGTTCAGGGTGGGTGAAGCAACCTCATGGAAGGGCAATGTGATGAGGAGTATCAGAGCTTGAGTGGGGGAGGTTGTGTGTACTCTCCAGAAAGTGACCTAAGCAGAGCAAGGAGATTTCCGTGTGGAGGTTGGAGAAGGTTCAGTGATAAAGGCAGGCTTCTGGTTCAGGGTATGGAAGCTCAAGAGGGGTGAGGAGAATACTCATGTGGGAAGGCAGCCTGTGGGGGCGTTGAAGTCCGAGTGGTGATGGAGAGCTGCTGATCAGGTTGGTGGTTCTGCATAAGGGGAAGGAGCCAGAGCAGGGTGAGGGAGATCTTCCCATGAGGATTGCAAGGAAGGAACAAGGTGACATCTTTTTCATGCCATAAAATAAGGAGTTATTCAAAGAATGCTGTGGACATTCAAAATAACACAGAAGTGCACCTGATGGAACTCTCATTGATAAAACCAAGGACAATTTGAGCATCAAATTAAGTAAGGGGAATAATGGATTATAACCCATTTAATAAAATAGACATGAGTCAAAATGAAATACAGATGCTCCTCAATTTATGATAGGGCTACACCCCAATAATCCTACCGTAAATTGAAAATACTGTAAGTTGAAAATTCATTTAATGCACCCAAACTCTTGAACATCATAGCTTAGCCTAGCCTACCTTAAATGTGCTCAGTCCACTTATATTGGCCTACAATTTGGCAAAATCACCCAATAGATAGCCTATTTTATAATAAAGTATCAGCTATCTCACATTATTTATTGAATACTATACTGAAGATGAAAAACAGAATGGTTATATGGGTACTCAAAATACAGTATCTATTAAATGTACATTGTTTTCCCACCATTGTAAAGTTGAAAATTATTGAGTCAGGAAACTTATTTACATACATGCATGAAAATTTGATGAGGAATGAGCTATTTTCATGGTTTTATTATACATTCTATCAAGTACTAATTAACTACGAAGGAAAAAAAAAAAGAATAGCTTTTCCATAGTGGGTGGAAAAGCCAGGCTGATATCACCTCAACCAAGGGGTCAGATTTAGCATCTTCAGAAAGGGACAGCCACTTAACAGGATACAATGAGAACACAGTAGTTTGTCTATGCTATTTCTACCAAACATGCATTAATTTAAATCATGAGAAAACATCAGATAAATCCAAATGAGGGACATTCTACAAAATAACCAGCCTATAATTTTCAAGTGTCAAGGCCACGAAAATCAGGGAGAAAAAATATATTAACTTAAAGAGATGTGACAACTAAATGCAGCATATGATTGTGAGCAGAATCCTTTTGCTATAAAGAATATTATTAGGGCAATTGGCAAAATTTGAATAGGTGTAAGGATTAAATATAGTAATGCATTGATGTTCATTTATATTCTTGTTTGTAGGAATCACACACCTAATTATTCATGGGTCATAGGACATCCAGTCTGCAACTTACTTTCGAATGGTTCAGGGAAAAAAAGTTACTTATGGTGTCCTTACAACTTTTCTGTATGTTTCAAAATAATTTTAAAAAATCAATATATTTCCCCTTTTTGGATCATTTTGAGAGAACTTAGAAAACTACATTAACTCCATTCATCTCCCTCCTGACTTAAGTGCTACTTTCCAGGGTTTTCATTTTATCTTTATTTTGTTTTGCCCGACATATTAAACATTATTATTACTTTATACATCAATGTTTCTTTCAATTTTCCCATATTTGTATATTTTCTTTGCTAACAATTACTTCTAACATCATAAACTTTCCTTTTAGGATTATATTTACTCTCTCAGAAGTCCTGTAGGAGTCTCTATTAGTGAGAGAGCATCTATTGGGTGGCATGCACTGCTTTTATTTACCTGAAAATGTTTGTACATAACCTTCATTTTTGAAATAAAATTGTAGAAGTTATAGAATTCTAGAATAACATGGTTGTCTTTCAGCATTTTGGTAATATTGATTTTCTGTCTTCTGATTTCTGCTGTCACTTCTAAGAACTGTGCTGTCATTTCTAGTGGTTGTGTCTTTGTAGTTGTCTTTTCTTTCTAGATAGTTTTAAGGTATTCACTTTGTCTTGGGTATTCTGAAGTTTCAATACAAAGTCCACTTGACTTTCTGAATTTGATTATTGGTATCTTTCATAAATTCTAGAAAAATAATATCAGCTATTATTTTATTGAATATTAGCTGTCTCCAATTCTCTCTATTAGCAATTCTGGAACTACACTAGACATTTATTGAACTCTTACAATCTGTCTTCCATGTCTTTTCAATTTCTCTCACTGTTTCCATCTCTTTGCATTCTTCAAAATTACTATACTCTTTTATTTTTTAAACATATTAAATGATATCATTTTATATTCTGCGTCAGATAACCCCAACATCTGTAGTTTTGGCAGTTTAGATTCTATAGTTTGTTGTTTCTACTGATTTTTAATAATAGTGGTTTGTTTAGTCATGCATTCAGTCATCTTTTATTGTTTGCTCATGTTCCTTAGAACTATTATCCATGGTAATCCTCTGAAGCCTGATTTTGAAGTCTAATCCTCCAAATAATATTTCCATTGTTTTTGCCAGACAGCTTTGGGTATTGTTACCTGAGACCACTTTAAATTATTTATTAATTTAAATAAATAAGTTATTAAATTAATTGTGATGTTTCAGGCCCAAACCTGATAGAATGTGGGCTTATGGTTGTAGATTCATAGGAGAGACATTTCTCCCACTTGTAACCAGATCCAAGACCTAGAAATGCATATATTCCTATAACATTTCTTTTCAAAGTTCACTTTTACTTATTTTTCTAGTTTACATGCTGGAGGTATTATTATACAAGGTTTATACTGGCTTTATGTCAGAAGCCAGAAATTCTTCAATCCCTTTTCCTCCCATCCTTCTGCTATTTTCCATATCATGGAAGCCTTCTGTATTAGGCCATTCTTGCACTGCTATAAATACCTGAGACTGGGTAATTTATATATATAAAAAGATTTAATTGGCTCATAGTTCTCCAGGCTGTACAGGAAGCATAGCAGCATCTGCTTCTGGAGAGGCCTCAGGAAGCATCTAGTCATGGTGGAAAGCAAAGGGGAAGCAGGCACATCACATGGCAAGAACAGGAGCAAGAGAGTCAGGGGGAGATGCTGCACGCTTTCAAATGAACAGATCTCATGTGAACTCAGAATGAGAGCTCACTTATCACAAGGGGATGATCCAAGCCATTCATGAGGGATCTGCCCCCATAACGAAAACACCTCCCACCAGGCCCCACCACCAACATTGAGGATAAAATTTCAACATGAGATTTGGGCGGGATAAATATCCAAACTATATCATTCCACCCTTGTGCACCTGCAAATTTCATGTCCTTCTCACACTGTAAAATACAATCATGCCTTCCCAATAATCCCCCAAAGTCTTAACTCATTCCAGTGTTAACTCAAAAGTCCAAAGTCTCATCTGAGACAAGGCAAGTCTCTTCCACTTAGGAGCTTGTAAAATCAAAAACAAGTTATTTACTTCCAAGATACAGTGGGGGTATAGGCATTGAATAAACATTCCCATTTCAAAAGAGAGACATCAGCCAAAAGAAAGGGACTATAGGCCCCATGCAAATTCAAAACGCAGCAGGGCAGACATTAAACCTTAAAGCTACAGAATAATCTCTTTTGACACCATGTCCCACATACAAGGCACACTGGTGCAAGGGATGGACTCCCAAGATCTTAGGTGGCTCCACCCCTGTGGCTTTGCAGAGTTCAGCCACTGCAGCTGTCCTCATGGGCTGGCATTGAGTGCCTGCAGCTTTTCCAGGCACAAGGTGTAGGCTGCAGGTGGATCTATCATTCTTGGGTCTGGAGGACAGTGGCCCCCTTCCCACAGCTCCACTAGGCAGTGCCCTGGTGGGGACTCTTTGTAGGGTTTCTAACCCCACATTTCCCCTCTACACTCCCCTAGTACAGATTCTCTGTGAGGGCTCTGCCCCTGCATAAGCTTTCTGCCTGGGCAACCCAGCTTTCTCATGTAGCCTCTGAAATCTAGGCAGAGGCTCCCAAGTATCTTTAACTCTGGCACTCTGTGCACTCACAGGCTTAACACTGCATGAAAGTAGACAAGGCTTGTGGCTTGCATTCTTCAAAGTGGCAGCTTGAGCTGTACCTGAGCCACTTTGAGCCCTGGCTGGAGCCAGTGTGGCTGGGATGTGGGAAGCAGTGTCTGGAGGATGTACAGGGTAGTGGAGCTCTGGGCCTGGCCCATGAAACCATTCTTCCTTGCTAGGCCTCTGGGCCTGTGATGGGAGAGGCTGCTTCAAAGGTCTCTGAAATGCCTTCGAGGCCTTTTCTCCATGGTCTTGGATATTGGCTCACTTTTAGTTTTGCAAATTCTCTAGCAAGTGGTTGCTCCACAGCCTGTTGGAATTCTTCTCCTCCCCCAACAAAAAAAGCTATTTTTGTGTGTCCCTGCCACATGGCCAGGCTGCAAATTTTCCAAACTTTTTAATCTGCTTCCCTTTTAAATAGAAGTGCCAACTTAAGTTATTTCTTTCCTCCTGCATCTGAGAGTGTAGGTTGTTAGAAGCAGCCAGGCTACCTCATGAATGCTTTGCTGCTTAAAAATTTATTCTGCCAGATACCCTAAATCATCACTACGAAGTTCAAATTTCCACAGATCCCTAGGGCAGAAGCACAACACAGCTAAATTCTTTGCTAAGGCATGACATGCATGACCTTTGCTGCAGTTTCCAATAAGTCTCTCATTTTCATCTGAGACCTTGGCAGCCTGGCCTTCACTGTCACTATCAGCATTTTGCTCACAACCACTTAACCAGTCTCTAAGAAATTTCAAACATTCCCTCATCTTCCTTCCTTTTGAGCCTTCCAAGCTCATCTAAACTCTGCCTGTTACCCACTTTCAAAGATGCTTCCACATTTTCTGGTTTCTTTGTAGTAATGCCCCACTCCTCAGCACTAATTTTCTATATTAGGTTGTTCTTTCACTGCTATAAAGAAATATCTGAGACTAGGTAATTCATTAGAAAAGAGATTTAATTATTGGCTCATTGTTCTATAAGCTGAACAGGAAGCATAGCAGTATCTGCTTCTGGGGAGGCCTCAGGAAGCTTCCAATTATGGTGGAAGACAAAGGAGGATCAGGCACATCACATGGCAAGAATAGTAGGAAGAAAGAGAGAGAGTGGGTGTGTGTGCGGGGAGTCAGAGGGGTGCCACACACTTTTAAATGAACAGATCTCATGTAAACCCAGAGGAAGAGCTCACTTATCACCAAGGGGATGGCCCAAGCCATTCATGAGGTATCTACCCCCATAATCCAAACACCTCCCACCAGACCCCACCTCCAACATTGGTGATTGCATTTCAACATGACATTTGGATGGGGACAAATATCCAAACTATATCATCTCCCATGTAGGATGTTACTTTGAAGGGATAAAGGACTCTAGTAATTGCCAATATTGAATTTTTTCACCACTTCAAAGTGGTGAAAAAACCAGACTTGAACTTTTTCAAGTCTGTTTCAGACTGAATCCATCAGGTCTGGAATCAGACTTGATGTGACTTAAAGAAAACAAAACACTGCCCTAGGCACTAATCAAAGAAAAATGTGACATGTTTTCTCACTTTGAACATAAAATCGTTATTTTTCTTTGATCTTCTACAGCATTGAAAATCAAATAATCTAAAAGAAAAAAAACAAACAAAAAAATAATTAACTGAGGAGAAAAGACAACTACTATCAGAGAACAGGTCATAACAAGATACTTCTTTTCCCCAAAGCCATTGCTAGCTAGTATATATATATTCCCTTTCCCTGTAGTTTGTTCCAAATTTCAAGTGTGATGATAGTTTATTTGCACAAACGAGACAGACAAAAGTTATTCTAACTAGAATGCATGCTCTCTGAGAGCAAGACTAATACCTCTGATTCTTTTAGAGAGCCTAGGTCATGTATTTTGGGTGTGGGAGGCCAGATTGTGCCACCCCCAAATATGAAGTATTACTGAGCTAAAGACAATTAAGGGAAGCAAATGCAGGAAAGCTCTCTACTCTTCCTCTCTTTGTCTTAAAGCAGGACATAGATTTATAAGGACAAAAGGCATCCCACCCCTCTTTCTCCAAGTAGAACAAAGGTTAACCACTAAAGACAACTTTTGACCCTGATTGTCTAGAGATGGTACTGGAAGAATTTTCATGCATAAGTTTCACTAACCAGCCTTTATCTGCCATTGTTTTGCCTTCTCACAACTTGCTGCTCCTGGGAGACTCAAAGTTCTTTTCCTTTGTCTTGTCACTTCTCTAAAATGTACTGTTCTTTGTTGAAGATGTTGTTGGGACAACTAAGTTTCTCCTCAAAGACTCAACCTCCTGGTCATAAGTTGCAAAAGTTGTAAATCAGCCCTACCCACTTTCTTCCCCACCTTCTTCTTTTCACAAATCACATGTTTACCTTATTTGGAAAAGTTTAAGTCTCAGCCAATCAGGATCAGCTTAGATTGTGTGGTCCAACCCCAGCCAATAGGCAAAGGACACAGAAACAGGAACTGCACTAGGGTTAAAAGCTCCTTCCTCCTTTGTTCAGTGTGCTCTTGTGATTGCATCAGGTGCAAGTAGTACCCTTCTGCAGAAGTAAAGTTGCCTTGCTGAGAAATTTTCTGTCTGAATGCGGGTTTCTTTTGGCTACACTGAGCACTTGTTTCCAACAATGCTATATAAGCTGGAATTCGATTCCACCTCTTTGAGAACTACTGATTTTCTAGGTTTCTCCTGTGAGATATGAAATATACATATTAATAAACATCTGTTTGTTTTCTCTTGTTAATTGTCTTTCATTATAGGGATCCATTGGAACAAAGAACCTGTGATGGTTGAAGAAAAAAATTATTTTTCTTTTCTTACGTGGGCATGTAGAAAAGAAAGCAAAAAGTATAGATTACTTGATAAAGTATATCATCCAGCCTTTAATAAGAGAAGGCAATGTAATGTAGAGATAAAGCACACTGACTATGAGTCAGATACCTTGGTTTCAAATCCAGGCTCAGTTACTTGCTAGAAATATGATCTTGGCTGAACCCTCTCTAAGCTCAACTTTTAATTAATTTAATCAATATCTTTGCTTTGAGGAATTCCTGAGCTAATTTGGGTGAGATATTGTTATGAGAGTCCAGAAAATCTCTCAAGGAAGAAGTTACGGAGAAGTGGGTCCTGACCACAGCCTTGAAAGATGGTGACTATGTAGACAGTGGGAAAGGAACGTAAGAAACTTTTCGCAGAGAATGCTTTTGACTTCCTGATTCCAGAGGAGTTAGGAGAGCTTCTAAAGACACTTTAGTTTTCAACTGCCCTCCTGATTCATGAGAGTAATGCCAAGTAGTAGTTATATTCCCACACTCTGGATTCAATGCCTGGGATCAAATCATAGAATCATAGATCTACCTAGTTTGTTTCCTATGTTAAAGAGAAAAGGATGAAACATCAGATTTTTTAATCTAAAAAGTGAGAGAGTACCAACTTCCCAGGGTAGTTGAGAGGATTAAGTGAAATAACCAATGTAAATGTCTAATATATTGCAACTGCAGTGAATATTAATTTTTAACTCATTCCTATTAACATTATCATGTTCCCTAATGTTTCCTTCTCAAGTTCTGAGTCTGTGGAGTACTGCTAACTTGCTTGATCTGCCTTCCTCACCCACCTTTTGCCCTAGGTAGAAGAACACATCCCTGATTAAACGTTACATCCTGCGAAGACAGACTGTGAAGGCCAGGCCACAATAGCTGGGGAGACAATGCATTTTTTGTTCAGAGCAGCCACCAACAGTGATGACAAGAGCCATCAATGGGCCAAGGTCAAAGATCAGCAGTCCCTCTGTCACTTCATTCTTCTTCTGGCTCCCAATAGAGTCCATAGGAACTCAATCTCAGTTCTGAAATCTAATCAAAGCTCATCCACTCAGACCCAAGCCAAGGACACCAAAGAACAAATTCATAAGGCAAACAAAGTCTTCACTCAGCCTTCTGCATTTAGTGATTGTGGAAATGTGGTGCAACTGCCAGCTAGATGAGAGACTTTGGAGGAAATGGGTGATTTAAGCCTTGGGAGTGAGGATTAGCAAGAGAGATTGATGAAGATTCTGGACACATTTGGGAAGCACCAGAGTGAGAGCGTGCCATGACTCTCCAGGTGGGCATCTGAGGAAGCTTAAAATGATGAGCCAAATTAAAAATAGGAAATGAGAGCACAGAGGCTGTTTTTGACAAAGTTCCTTACTTCTCTCTGCCTCATGGAAAACAGGAACATCAGCCCTTCCTAGACCCGCCCCCCCCAGGCATGTGTGCGACATTTGTCCTGGATGCAGCTAAAATCCATCCTTTATGATACAGTTTATTCCTTGATGCCATTGTCTGCTAGGAGATTTCCCGGATTCTGAAAGTGTGCAAGCAATACTTTTCAATTACTGCACATACACCCTGACACACCATGTGGCCTTCACCAATTTGCTGCACAATCTATCTTAACAGTAACCACAAAGCATGCTTCTTGATAGTATGGACAAAATCATTTCTCTCTTTTGTTGCTTAGGAATTCTGTTGTAGGCTCAACTTGCTAAACTAGTTGTGCAGATCAACACATGAGAGACAGGAGCCTCTCCACTAAATGAGGGTGGGAATGAAAGTGAGTAATGTCTTTGGGGCCCTTGGAATAGGCCTTTGCTGGTGGAAACCCTGCTCAACAAAGAGAAGAAAGTATCCAGCACAGGGCTAGGCTTGCATCAGCAAAGGGAAACCCAGCAACCACATCAGTGTAAATGATTCTGCTATTCTACCTGGCACCCACTCTTCTTAATGTGGTAACTTAATTTGTCTTGGAGAATAATTATGTTTTGAGTGCTAACTATTGCTAAGCATTATGCTCAACACTTTAAATAAATGACTTCACTTAATCCCTACAATAATCTTACAAAGCTGATACGATCTTGATTTTGCAGGTGAGAGAATTGACATTTGGGCTTAAGAAATTTTGTTAAAAGCTGGAATTCAAACACAGGTCTGTGTGAGTTCAAAACCCATGCCTTCAACCATATCATCATCAACCTTAGTTTCTAGAAATACAAAATCTGCACTCTTTCCTCTGCTGCAGCCTGAGGTAATTTCTTAGCAGCTAAGGCTGTCACAAAGAACCTCTGCAGGACTGTGGCAGTGGATTTGGTCACTTTTTATAGCTCTTGGGATTCATTATGATATATAATTTTCTTATTAAATTTCTATAAACCTATATTGCTTCAAGATAAAGTTGTTTTCCCCTGTTCTGACCCATCTTATGTATCATTGCCAGAGGAGTCTCATAAAGTATAGCTCATCTTGTCACTTCTCTGCTCAGAAACCTCCCAAAGCTCCTGGTTGTCCCTGGGGCCACAGTTACTCTTGGATATGCAAAGCAGGCTGCACCCTGCCTTTCCAGGATGACTTTCTATTCTCTGGTTTTCAACCCTGGGGATTAAACCAGGCTTTGTGAATTTCTAGTGCAACCAGGATTTTAGACTAGAGCTCTGTTCTAAGCACAGTGTGGGTCACTGCAGAATCTCACTTCAAGAAGGGTCCTGTGGTTTCATAAAGATTGGAAAGCACTTCTCTAACTCGACCATATTACAATTCATTCGACAATCCCCTGCCTACACCTCTGCTTAAATTCATCCTTCACGTAAATTGATCTTCCTTACAACACAGTCTTCTGATATCTCATCCATCCTTCAAGGCCTGGTTGGAACGCTACTGTCTCCATGAAGCCTTCCTCAGTAACCCAGACAGAAATCCTTTCCCTCTGCTTTATGTACTTCCACAGCTCTTTTCTTAATATTACTCCTGTAGGACTTGCCACACTAAACCTTGTAGCATGGATATTTGTGCCCATCTCATCTCATCTGACCCACTTGACTTCAGTGTCGTGTCCTGGGGTTGAGCAGGCAGAGATCATATGTCTTCATTATGTCTGTGTGTTACCCTAGCATCTAACACTATGTCTTGATCATGCCAGGAATTTAATAAATATGCATTGATATAAACTGAATTAATATTGATTATTGGGCATCATTTCAAAAAATGGCTTTGGTAAGTTGTCTGCTTGGTGAACACCATCTTTTGTTCTTTGAAGCCAAGTGCTATGGGGACAAAAAAAATAAAGCAAAATGTTTCCACCCTTATAAGACTTTCTTGTTCATAGTGATAAGGCCGTAACTGTTGCTTTCATTTTCTTCCTTCAGCTCAAGACATCCTCGTCCAGGCATGAAATTGGTGCCTTGGTGTTTTTGTTTTCATTTTCACAAATATTCTTCAGGATATTTCCTTCTCCAACTAGAAGGTCTGTTGAGGGCCAGGCAGGGCAATCGCTGGGATATAGACCGAAATCACTCATGGTTTGAGTTTTGTCTCCCTCCAAGTTTCCAAACACCTTAAGCATGTAGGGGACAAGGGAGAGCTTTCCCCTTGGCCTTCTGAAGGTTTGCTGAAAAATCAACTCACAAAAAGCAGATTAATTGGAGAAAATACATAAACATTTATTAAATGTGCATACACAGGAGCATTCAGAATGAAGACCGACAGATACAGGAGAACAGTGTCCATTTTTATGCTTAGGTTAACAAAGTATGAACAGCTGTGTAGAAATATGATTAGACAAAAAGGATATGACCTAATGCTAGTGGACTAAGTGGGGTTACCCAGTGAGGCTGGTCTGTCTAGGTCCTTCTTGGCTTCTTTGTGCAGCTTTCCTTCCTTCTGGGTGTGGGGCAGGCCCTTCTCAAGAATGGGGAGTCTTATGAACTACAGTCAAACAAGGTAGGTCAGATAATTTATTTTAGGGCAGTTTTTACTTTGAAAGGCAGAGGGAAAATTAGAGCAATACTTTTAGGTTTTATGAAGGGCTTGTGGGCAAAGAGGTTCTAGTTTCTATGTCCCACCTTGGGGAAAAGGGATTTGTAGTTTCTTTGGCTAAAGCTAGCCTCAGGGGAGAATGGGACTGAGAGACAAGAGGGAAGGAGAAGGTCAAAAAAACACTTGCTTCTGAGGCCTTCATTTCGGGATATTGTTTTCCGAGCCCCAACAAGCACAAGAACAGTGGCTTCCATTTTTCTTGTATCCTCTCTAGCATCTCTCTGTCTATATGGGCACACAATGTGAGTCCTGAAATAGTACAGCAGCGACTCCCCACTCTGAATTCCACTGTGCTATGTCTCTTCCCTCTGACTCTCATCACTTTCTACCTTTTAAAGTTATGTGTATGTGCATGTTTCACTTTTCCCTCTACACTGCAGATTATCTGAAGTAGAATTTATGCATTCACAAAACCTACTACTTAGCAATCAATGTCTGTTGGACAGATGAATAACTAAATAAATAGAGGGAAGCACCTAATCTTGGGAATAATAGAGAGAAAAAGTTATTCCAAAAAGGAAAAGGAGGCGGATGATTATCAGTGGCTCCTGATTTCAATACAAAAACCTAGCATATTCTTGGGGCACATGTATACTTATTTGCAGCAACAATATCAGGGTCTAATGGACAGAACCAAAAGATATATGAGAGAATCTATGGAATATTCATTTTGGCTGTCTTTGACTACAAAAGGCTTCTAAGAAAAGCCATTCTGATAAATAATAATGATAATAATATCTAATGTTTATTGACCTCTTGCTATGGGCCAGCCACTATGCTAAGAGCTTATGCATGTTATTTCATTTAATCTTCCCAATAACCCCATAAGATAAATGCTATTTTTACCCTTTTAAAATTATAGCTTCATAAGAGGTTAAATAAAGTACTCAAGGTCTCAAGACAGGAAGTGGTAGAGCTGGGATGCCAATCCAGTTGATACAATGTCAGAGACTAAACTCGTGACCTCTGCTACAAATTCTCATTTATAAAATTTCCTTGCCAGAAGCTGCTAGAAGCTCCAGTCCTGTTTGCAAGGTTGTCTTTGACAAAAATTAAGAAAAACTTTGTTGCATAATGTACACTGTTTCTTGTACATCCATCCAAGGGTATCTAATTAAAGAAAAATGATAAGACATTTTGATACATTATAATGCACTGGGGAACATCCCTGGTGAGGATAAAATACCAAATATTTTCTGTACAGTTTGGTTCTCATGTTTACTGGTGGTCAATAAATGTTAATTTAATTGAATACTTCTGATTTGGCTTGCACAGCCCAAAGTTATTTCTGGGTGGCGGTTTTTGGATGCTATTTGCTCTGGTGGTGACTTAAAGCAGAAGGCCAGAACCATCATAAAAATAGAGGCTGGAATCTGAGAATATAAGGAAGGGAATAACTTTGAATTTTATGTTATGGAGAATCCCTTGCAAACATTTTAAGACTTTTAATTTAGAGGTCAATATATGCACTTTCTTCGGAAGTCATTTTTGTTTAATCAGCAAATACCTTTTTAGTGCTAGGAACTGCTATGCATCCCCCTGAGGAAATAGTGGTGAGCAGGGCAGCCAGGTTCTCTACCCTCAATGAGCTTTCAGTCTAGAGGGGGAGACAGGTCTTAAACAGGTAGTTACGGTCCTGTGTAATTGAGGCAATAACAGCAGAAACATAGGATGTTATAGGAGCACATCGCAGGGGGTAACTTACCCAGGCCTAGAAAGTCAAGAAAAACTTTCTAAAGATCTAGGATCTTAGAGTAAAATGTTGAAAGAACGGAACATTTTTAAACAAAGATGGTAAATATTATTTCATAAAGCATGTAGCTATTAAAGCTATTTTTATTAAGTTCGAAAGATGGCAGGAGGTCTTCAAATGTACTCTTGGCCAAATTGCTAGTTATCTAAACAGAACAAGGGCCACAGCTGAGAGGTTGTGTTAAAGAAAAAATTATTCATGATGCTTGTTAAAGGGCAGTGAGACTGACTTTATTCAGGACCATTGCAATAGGAGTAGGACAACTGAGATGGGGTTTTGCAGTGCAGGAGAGAGGTGACTGTACCTGTAGGGGTGAAAGGAGCTTTTTCCTTTTTCCCTCTGAAGGTTTGGTAATTTGAGTCTATGAAATAAACTGACAGTAAACAGATTAACAGGAGAAAAGGAATACAAATGTATTATGTGCACATGTGCATGGGAGCCATACAAAATATGATACTCAAAGAAGGGCCAGATGGTTGAAGCTTAAATAGCAGTTTGAGCTATAGAAAGAGGCTCCTGGAGGGTAGTGGTGCCAAGCTACAGGAGGGTGAGGGGAGAAACTGCATTGCAAACAAAGGTTGTCTTATTATGCAGATAAAGCCTTCTGAGGGTTACTACCCTCAGAAGAATAGGTGAAAAGTCTATCTGGCAGTGTATCCTGGTCCTGGAGGCCTTTAGTCTCCTCTCCTGCATAGGAATTAATCTTCTCTGGTTAATGTAGTTTCCAGGGAAAGAGTTTACAAAAATTGCATGCCCTTCTGGACGGAATTCTCTTAATCAGATGAGGAAAAACTCAGAGAAAACCCCTTCTTGCACTTCAGGAGAGAAACAGGACTGAGGGGAGAGGGAGATCAGAGAGACTTTGTTTCTGATGCTGCTTCTTTAGATCAAAGTCCCCAGCATGTCAAAGCACCATACTCTGGGGTATTTTTTTCTGAGCCCAGTAGCCTCAACTCTGAGTACAACAAGGAAAAGTGGAAATTTATAGTCAAGAAGCAGAGTTGTGGGGGGTAGAGAGGCTCAGTGTGAAAACTGGTAAGAGGAAACATTAGGGATAAGAGGGCGATAGCAGCTAAAGCAACCTAATGGGGTTCTTGCTGAAGGCAGGCCAGGGTGACATCACCTGAGGGATGGTGGAGCATGAAGAACCTGATTAGATATTAAAGGTGATCAAAGATGGAGGATAGCTGAACTGACTTAGCAGTGTTCTTTTTTTTTTTTTTTTGAGACAGAGCCTCGCTCTGTCACCCAGGCTGGAGTGCAGTGGCGTGACCTTGGCTCACTGCAAGCTCTGCCTCCCGGGTTCACGCCATTATCCTGCCTCAGCCTCCCGAGTAGCTGGGACTACAGGTGCCCGCCATTGAGCCTGGCTAATTTTTTTGTATTTTTAGTAGAGACGGGGTTTTACCGTGTTAGCCAGGATGGTCTCGATCTCCTGACCTTGTGATCCGCCCTCCTCGGCGTCCCAAAGTGCTGGGATTACAGGCGTGAGCCACCGTGCTCGGCCAGCAGTGTTCTTGCTAGAGCTAGACAATGCCAAGATGAACACAGAAGTCCAAAAGTAGAGGACTAGTTGAAAAAAAGAGTTCAGAAGAGCCTGAGTAGAGTTTGGTCAAGGAGAAACCTATGTCATTTAACAGGCACAGCTCTGCTCCCACTGGAGGAGGGATTCTTCTGGAAGCCTTCCTTTCCTCATCCAAACTGCTTCCATTTCCTTAGCCCAGAAATGCTGAATGCTGGAAGAGGGCTGCCATGGTTTGAATGTTTGTCTCCTTCAAAACTCATGTTGACATTTTAATTGTTATCATAACAGTACTGGGGGCTGAGGGCCATGAGGGCTCCACCTCCATGGTGGGATTGGTACTGTTAGGAAGGGTGCCTTTAGCCTCCTCTTGCTCCGTCTCTCACCCTCTCGCCTTCTGCCATGTGATGATGCGGCCAGAAGACACTTGTTAGGTGCCATCACCTTGATACTCAACTTTTCAGCTTCCAGAACTGTGAGCCAATAAATTTCTGTTCATTATAAATTACCCAGTCTGTGGTATTCTGTGATAGTAGCACAAAACAGACTAAAACAAGGTCTTTATTGTGATTCTAAATCTGGCCTAAATGATATCACGTAGTCTGTTAATTTTTTATATAGATGCCCTTTGTGTCACATTTTCTGCTGGCTTATGTGTCTTTTAATCACACCTCACAGCAACAGGAGCTACTTGACAGGGTGCCACGGTACCAACTTTTTCATCCTTGGATGCAATTTCAGAACGGTATTCCATCAAAAGGAGCAGCAGGATTCTATTAGAACATCTCTTATCTAATACAGAAACACAGTTCTGTCACCACCAAATTTTCCAGTTCACAAATGCTAAGAGTTTCAATACTATTACAACCACATAGTTCAACGGGATTTAAAACCTATTTTTAAAACAGTAGACTGGATTCATCTTTAATACATAGACCGAGTTTTCCATGTGTTCATATGCCACCTAGTGGGCTATATTACATACAAAATGTAAAACTGATCTTTTGAATTATAATCTAGCATTTTCTTCCTAAAATTTGAGGTCCAAGTGACAAATCTTAGCCAGTAAAATCTCTAAATTTAAAAGGTAACGTTACATATTCAGCACAGAGTCAGTTTGAAAGAGACCAAAATTTGGAATTCCTTTTAAACATTTCATCTGCGGCGATTTAAAACAAGAAAATATCTCCATCAAAGGGTTTAGGTTTGAGTTACCATTGACAGTAGTGGAAAGACAAACTGGTGAAAAATAAAAGTAGCCTATTTTATCTAAGGGGGTTAAGGTGTGGAGCAAATAGAAAAACAAGACTTCACAATTCAAAGTAGCTGACAATTTTAAAGATACATGATGTTTCACAACCTCTTGAAGGATTAGGCATTTTTAAGGCACCTCTATGTTAGGTTAAAGCTGATGTTCAAAAAGTAGTTATTGACTGTTTACCATGTGCTGAGCACTAAGCTAGGGACCGAGATAAAAGAATGGGCAAAACTAAAGAGAACTCTTGCCCTAAAGAAGCAGAGATCTGCTACTTCAGAACACTCTGGATTTTGCCACTGAATTTTACAGTTAGTATTATGACACCGTTTTACACATGTTTTCATTGACGTAATCCTAACAGAATTAATTATGCTGTTACTAAAGGGCAGAGTGAACTCAGTTATGGTGATTACTGACTTTCCAGAGTTCTAGGACTGTTAGGAGAGCTGTAGCAGCTATGGAAGTAAACTGTTTTTTTTTTCTTTTTCTTTTCTTTTTGAGATGGGGTTTCACTCTGTTGCCCAAGCTGGTCTCGAACTCCTGGGCTCAAGTGATGTTTTTGCCTGGGCCTCCCAAAGTGCTGGGATTACAGGAGTGAGCCACCACACCCATCCCTGAGGAAGCAAACTTGTTGAAGCAGTTTGGTCTTCTCACTGACTGAAGATGAGAGAAATCTTATCAGCTTGCTATCATGTGATTTTGGGAGAATTCTTCATACTTGCCTGGGGTTAGCTTGAGAATTGATCATCTTCCATGGAGTGCTTGAATCATTTCCCATAAGGCCCAGAAACGGAGCAATGAAAAGAGCTTAAGATAATGAAAAGGGCCAATGTCCACGAAGTTGGAAATTCAGTGTATACCATAATTCACAGACTTCTCCAGTATTAAATGAGTAAAGAAGGGGAGAAGCTAGGGGACTGCACTGAACTTCCTGCTGTTCTATTGTTTTGGTTAAAGCAGTAATTGCCCTCAACTCTTTTTTGGCTTCCCAAGCCACTCTCCAAAAAGCACCATCAAAATTTCCAAAGCAACCAAGAAGTCTAAAGAGCAACCTGATGCTTTGAGTAAAACACATGGAGTTAATCATGGAAGTTTAGGTGCAATGCTTCCTACTCTTCCACAACCTACTTTTGATATACCCTTCCTCTCAGTATATGTATATCTCAGTATATGGAACCCGGCAGTATAATCTCTATCGAAAAATGTTTCATGCAAATGACTACCAGAATGAGAATCTTGGCACTGAATGATATCAGATAATTTGCTAAAGGTTGGTAAAATCTTGGTGAGCACTCAGGAGAAATGGCAAAAAAGAACAGAGTTGATGTGGTTTTTACCTGTAGTAAGAGAAGTATAGTGAAGTGGGTAGAGCGGAAGCTCTGGTCTCAGGGCCACCCAGGTTTGAATCCCATCACTACCACTTCCTGGCAGTGGAAATTTTGGGTGAGTGACTTAACCTCTCAGAGGCTATTTCATCATCTATAAAAGGAAAAAATGACAGAATCTCTGAAAGGGTTGTTATGATGATTAAATATCGTAAGTAAAGTGTTTATCACAATGCCTGGCATATAGCAAGTTTTTAATTTAGTTGAGGCAGCTATTTTTATTATGATTTTTATAATTATTAATATTTATTATTCTAGTAAGCTTCATTTGGAGATGTTTGGCTGCTACATTTAGTTCTGGATGACACATTGTAAGAAGGCTATATAATATGAATGAGAGAGAAATTAAAGAAGTTTTCACCAGATGTATCATGAAATCATGTTGCCCAAGGACTGAGTGTGAAAGTTACAGCCTTGGAGAAGCATCACATTGGACTTCAACTATTGACAGGCCTCTCATTTGTAAGAAGGGTCAGGCTTGCTCATTGCAGCCACAGATAAAGAACTAATCAGAGAGAATAGAAATTACAGGTACCTATATCTCAGGTCGATGTAAGAAAGAATTTTCCTCAGAACTATCAGAAGGGAGAAGGGCTATGTGGTAAGGTGGCAAATTTCCTGTCCATGGAGATGCTTACATGTGGAAGACCAGTTGCCATGGGTATTACGCCGGGTGGATACAGTTCAACTATTCAATGAATATAGGATTAGGTGGTTGTCCAAGGCTCCTTCAATGTTGAGATTTTCTGATTCAAGGAGAAAGAAGAAGAAAAAGACAATAAAAAATGCCAAAAGGAAGAAAAGGAGGGAGGCAGCCATCCCTGTTTCATTTGTTTTCTCCCTCCCTTCTGGGGAGTGTGGGATTTAGCAAGGGCCACCACTAGCCCATAAAGTAACTTTGTCCAACTTCAAAAATGGCACCCCTTCTGAGCTGATGTAACATCATGTGTTCAGGGCTTGACAATGTGGGGGTGTCCTTGTGAAAATTATAAAAAGAAGTTTCTTCCTCTGGGCAGAGGCATTATGAGAGGAATGAACACTGAATTTCAGTCCCCTCTTGCCTTCTCAATCTGCACCACTGTATGTGGCAATGCTGGCTTTACCTTTCTGGCCCTTTCAGTGTGTGTGTGTAGATAGTCTTTCTCCTCAGACCATTGTTACCCGGTTGGAGATGGAGTCTAGGCACTGCTTTCCCTTTCTAAGTCAAGCAAGAGAAACTGGTAGTTGCCTTTAAGTCTTTTTCAGCTCTTAGAACTTGGGAGTGTGACTTGAGCAACATGATCATTATACCCAAGAGCATGTGCTTAGAAGAAAGCAAAAATCTGTGGAAAGCATTATAGAATATTGGATCAGTAATGATGGATGTTTATGAGTTTTGGCTACCAGCATACGTTTTCCTGCTTTATAGTATCCCAGTTTCTCCTTGTGTCTGTAACTGAGGTGAGAGATTAATGCTGGGGGCTCATCTTCTACATATCTTTCCTCTCCCTGTCCTCTCAGCCAGGATTTGAGCATGTGAATGGAGCCTGGTCAGTCAGGCACGATCTTCTCTCCTGAGACCTTGAATGTTGGGCTGGTCTGGAACCAAGTTAAATAACAGGAAGTTATTCACCTACCTGCCTGTCTTCCCCAGGTACCATAGATTTCTGTGTCTCCTGCTCTGCTTCCTACCTTCAGCTTCTTGTTCTCCGGCATCCCTTCAATTCTGTGAGCCCCCTCTTTCGCTTCATGTAATCTCCTCGTTGCTTTTGTTGTAAATGATAGATTTCTGTTGCTTGCAACCAAGAACTCTGAAATACCAATATTAAAGTTGAAAATAGCAGCACTTGTTAATGATATGAATGGCTCATAAATCATAAAATCTCTACTACTAAAAAGACTAAATTGTTTTCATGCTGAGATGGTGTATCACCTCCTGGCCCAAACTCCATTCCTGAAATAACAAAAATTATGATGTTAGCTTTATATTTATTGAGCATTAATTGACTGTTGAGCTAAGTGCTTTACATAGAACATCTCACTTAATTCTCACAACTCATCCAAAATAAATATTAAGATTTTACTCATTTTATAAATAAAGAAACTGAGGCTGAGAGTGACTTGCTCAAAATTGAGGTAGAAAGTGGCAGAGCCAATATTTGAACCCATGTCTGAGTCACTCCAGAAACTCTGCTTATAACTACTGTGCTGTTCTGTCTCTTCTTCTGCCTGACTGACTTACACGTGGGGAACATTTTTAAAAATATTTCTTCGAACGATGAAATAGTCATGATAAATCAAATAATGAGAAATTAAAAAAAAAAACCCACGCATAAATTGTGAATTAGCTTCAGGAAAAGGCAAATTCAGCTTATTTACAGAGTAGCTGGCTGTGTCTTAGCTTTCGATATTTATGTGTTACCCTTGGGACTCCCCGTTTCCCCCTGTTTTGGGTGCACAGTGCATGGGAGCAGCCATGTATTTCAGCTGGGTCTTTCCTGCCTGTTAAATATCTATTGGGCTAAGCACTCTCCAAGCTCCCAGCAAGTTCATTAGTTACCTGAAAATATCTACCTCATCTGTCATCAGCACTCAAATGGCCTGAGGGATTTTTCATTTCCACTCCATTTTCCAAACTCTTTCTAGCATTTACCTCCCACATCTGGAATCAATCCTGACCAGCAGCAAAATGCTGAACAGCCGGGCTCCTCCCAGGGCAGACTTTCTTTCTCCCAAGGAGAGACAAGAATACATCGCATATGAATTAGCCATTCTCTTCTAGGGAAAACTGGCAGCAGAGGCAGCTTCTGCATTCTAATTTGCTCATCTAACCCCTTCATCTTTACTTGTTTAAGCAAAATATTTAGTTTAACATTTTCAGTCATTAGAGCTGAAAAAACACACATATTTTTAAACTAGATTTTATTTGTGTTGCAAATTGTGAGTATCCTTCAAAAATATCCCAGCTCGTTATCCCTTTACTCCCTTGGTAGAAAAGATTTTTAGACAACAGTCTTAGGAAACATCACTGACTTCCAAGCCTCAGTACCATTGCCCCACCACTGTTGCCGTCACCACTTCCTAGAGAAAAGAGAGTATCAGTTTGCCAATGACAACTAACTCAATTCCAAGGATGATTTAAACATTTGATTTTATGTTATTTTGGGGATTGTTTTTGTTTCTAGATAGTGTGGAGGCCAGCTTCATAGACTTCTAGAATTGCTTTCTAGGGGACAACATTCAGATCCTTGTGAAGGAAATATAGTTAATTTATTATAGATTATTATTTTCCTTTTGGTGGGGAAGGACTGCATAGGAAAAGCTGACCTCAAGAAACTAAACTCCACACATCTTTTTACAATTATTCTTGAGAATATCTTCATGAAAAAATCACAAAAAGTAAATGGCACCAAAGCTGCTTTCTGACAGCCCCTAAGAAAATATGTATGGGACATGCAGATGGGAAAAGTCAATCTCTTAATTGGATGAACTGCATAATTTTACTAATACAGCACATCCTGCCCTTAATTTTAAATCATCCAAAGTTGTTTTTTTTTTTTTAGTTCTAGAAGAAACAGCAATATAAAAAAATTCAAAATGGCCAACATATCTCAAGATATAGCCCTCAGCACCTGCAGGGTGATTATCTCTGCTGACAAAGTGAAATATTACTATGGATAATAGAAAGTTACAAAAAAATAGAGAGAAAAACTAATGAGAGGCAATCAGGAAGCTAGAAAGGCAGTTTTCTACAAAAGATTTCCTAATTTAAGATAGTGAATAATGTGCTTCTGCTCCCTTTAAGGTCAATAATCTGATCATCAAGTGTTTTGAGTTGTAAACAATTTTGAAATATCTACACCGCACCGGGCATTGTGCGAAGTCTCTTCTCAAGTTAACACATCCACCATGCTCCCAGCGCGTGCACCAGGCACTGTGGGGATGCAAATGAACTGCAAGAGCCTGCTCTGTCCTTTTCTTACATAACTAGCCAATGCAATGGTGAAACCCCTGAGAAAGCAAATCCAACCTCCGGATTGAGGGGATAAAAACAATGTGAACAGTAAGCTCTTTGAAAAGAAAACCGCTTCCCTATGGTAGAAAATAAGGGGGAAGGGGGCCCATGCAGGGAGCCCAGCAAGCAGAAAAGGTAGGCCCTAGGGAGTGTGATATTACACAGGAACATAATGGGGTTGACTGCATACTTGTCTAATTACTGGAGCTATTAAAATCTCTATAATTTAGATTCAGTCAAAAAAAAAGGCTCGTATAAATGCACACACATGCTCCCGATTGGATTTTATGAATCCATTCCTCTCGATTCTAAAAGGACACCACCCTGCTGTGTACATGTGGCTGCTAAACCTGAATGACCTTCTCCCCCTGGCCCTGCCCTTGCCCCCTGACTAGTGTACTCTGTTACTGTAATAAGCAGTTCGGTTAGATAAGGCGATGCTTGATGGAATCATCTGTGTTGAAGCCGAATTATAATGCCTCAGTCAACGGATTTAATCTAAACCAAATGTTTTGGGATTCTGAAAGCTCCAGGAGCAGAGAAAATATAAGTTTTATATTTGCTGAAGTTCAAACAGAGAGCAGACGGAGAGATTCCAGAAGCTCAGAGAGTGGTAGCAAAAAAAAAAAAAAAAAAAAGTGTTGTTTCTCCTGAGTTCAATCAAAGGAACAAGTAGGGTGCACTTTGCATTCACCTTCTCCTTTTGTTTTCTCTTCTATGAACTTTCCTTTCTCTTGACATATTATCTGCTAATGTCAAAATGAACTTGATACAGTAAGTACGTAGCATATGGTAGGTGCTCAATAAACACTTCTGGAATAAACAAATGGGCCATGGTTAGTGTAGGGGTTTAGTGTCCACGCTGTTAGTCTCATACTTCTCTAACCCCTTTCTTAGCCATGAGTTGAGGCAAATTTACTTAACATCAGGGCCTCAGTTTCCAGATATGCAAAGTGGAGCTAATAACAGTTGTGTGGATTAAACAGGTCAATGCATCTAAAGTACTAGCATAATGTCTGATCCATAGATGGTAGTTTCCTAGCTAACCTTCATTAGCTTTCACACCAGTGCTCTTACCTACTGGGCAAGACTTCCCCTCCTGAGAACACTGGCCATTTCCTTTTAACTGGTCTTCCCCACACCCTTCTTTCTTTGTTTTAGTTAAAGATGGGATTTAAGCCTGAAACTTAGACCACCTCTTTGAGAATTCCTCATTTCCTGGGCACCTCCCATATATAAATGGGATATACACATTAATAAACTTCTGTTTGTGTTTCTCTTGTTAGTCTGTCTTTTGTTAGTGGTCTGTCCCAGCTAAGAACTCAGAAGGGTTGAGAGAAAGTTATTTTTCTTCCTCTACAGTACATATGCCTAATTTTGAAGACTACTACTTTCATTAAAAACACAGAAAAAGTACTTTTCCATGCTTCATTTTATCTGATGATAAAAATAACTTTTTGGGGCTGAAGGGAAATATTACTATTCTCATTCCACAGATAAGAAAATAGATATGTCCCATGGGTGGTGAGAATCAAGCTACAGTTGAAACTCAACTCTACATTTGATACTCAACAAAGGTTTAACGAGCACCTACTGTGTCCCAGGCACCATGCTGGGCTCTGGAAACAAAACAGTGGATAGCGGTCTTGAAGGGCATCTTCAGGCTCCTAGTCTAGTGCTCTTAATAATCTGATAATTTAGCCAATGACATTGACATTAATTCATAATCCAATATGTTTTTACATATCAAAATTTAATAGCTTTAAGGAGGTTTCTAAATACCTTAAAAGGAGTCAGAAGACACTTTTTGCAGGATTTATAACTAAAACTACAGTAAACAGTGACTAAATTAACAGAAGTACAGTTGTAACATGACTTGGGAATAAAATCATTGGAAAGTCATCTGAACGCTTGGCAACATCACCATCTTAGATAAGAGATAAATGCACTAAAAGTGTAGCAGTGGAAATAGCTGGGGGTTCCAACCCAAGGTGCCCCATTTTTCCATGGCCAAACAGCAGGGATTTCCAGGTAGGCTCTGTGCGTTTACAGGCCACTCCTCTGCTGAGTTTCAATCCCCAACTGCCAGGCCTGTCAGTGTTCCCTATTATTCTCCTGACAGACAAAAGGAAAGCAGTATGTATTCCTTCTGCCTGTAACAGGAGCCAGCAAAATGGCTTTGTGATTGTGAGACATGTCAACTTAATTAGCTTTTTTCCTTCCAGGTAATAAGGGTTTTCTCCAAGGAATGACCAAAATTAACAACGCAGTTTGAGGAAGTTGATATTTCCTTCTCTTTTCCCACTTAAGATTCCTAGATGCAAAAATCACACCCACACATGCTAATAAATCTACATGGTTTATTGTTTTTGAATAAAACAAAATAAGATATTACTACAGAGAAAGTTAGAATCACTTCATCTGACGCGTATTTAGAAATCATCCATTTGAGAAGTCCAGATTACGTATCCCCCACACCTTAAAGATTATGGAAATGAGAAATATCTTCTCTTTTATCAGAACTTCTTTATTTGGAAAGTTCTGTGACAAACATCCACAGTTCTGTGCACAAACATTTTTTGGGCTGGGTGTGGTGGCTTACGCCTGTAATCCCAGCACTTTGGGAGGCAGAGGCGAGTGGATCACCTGAGGTCAGGAGTTTGAGACCAGCTTGACCAACAAGGTGAAACCCCATCTCTACTAAAAATACAAAAGTTAGCTGGGTGTGGTGGCAGGCGCCTGTAGTCCCAGCTACTCAGGAGGCTGAGACAGGAGAATTGCTTGAACCTGGGAAGGGGAGCTTGTAGTGAGCTGAGATCGCGCCACTGAACTCCAGACTGGGCAACAGAGTGAGACTCCATCTCAAAAAAAAAAAATTGCATATCTGTATTTTGTGAGATTATGGCTTTCCAAAAGATTCTTAAAGAGCTATATAAACCAAATCAACTTGAGAACTGCTTCATGATTGCCTGTCGAAGTCTCAAATGTTGTCAATTCATCTATAAGTAATTTCACATAACTTTTGGATGTTTCTTCAAACTTGGGATTTGAAACCAATATGTATAATCATCAAAGATATATTTTAAGGATATAAGATGTCTAGTTTATACCATGACATTTCTTTCATTTGCACAATTTCGAGAAGTGTTTCTTTCCTCTGAAAAGCAGAGAGGACTATCCCAGTATAACTCCATTTAATTTCACTCTGAGGATTGTAGTTTCTGAGCAGCTGACTGAAAGGAAATTCTATAAAGCAGATCCTCTATTCCCATTGTACTGTTGTAATTTTGGTTTGCGGCTCAGGCCAAGAGTAGAAGAACTGAACCTCATGTCCCCATCATGTTGCTGTGGGGTGGGACTGATGAGTTTTATCAGTGAGCCCTTGTGGGTAGAGCTCTGTCCCAAGTAAATAAAACCAAGGGTGTTCCTGCCCTCTAGGCACTTATCATTTAGTTGGGGAGACAAAACATGCAGTCAGTGTATATGCTTTTTTTTTTCCAATAAGCCACACGATAAACTGGAAAAATTTAGAGAATGTATACAGATTTCACTGGCATACAAAATGTCTATGGCTAACAATGCTCTCGATTATGGTATGTCATACTATGAATTTATGGATATATTGTCTCATTTTTCAATGTTCATTCTTCAAAATAGGCCCATTGAAAAAACTGAGTTATTTTGAAGGATAAATTTATTTTTTATTTTTTATTTTTTGCAGAGGCCTCCACTTTTTATTTCAGTTGTACTCATCTGTCCCACTGTGCAAATGGAGTCACACGCTCACTCAATTCTGAGAGGCCTGGCCAAGGCAAAGAGAAAAGATGCCCAGAGCAGTCTGTTAGAGTTGCATTCTCAGACTAATATCTTTACAGTCTTGAGAAATCACTGTCAGGGTTTATTTAAAATGCAGATTTTTGAAGGATAAATTTTACGACTAATTTTTTTTAATAAACTATGCAGGATTGTTATTTAGAAGATTTGCCAAATTTAGAGTCTTCAGCGATGGAAATAATTGGCCTTCTTGTCACAGTCTTCTGTTTATAAGTGGGTAAAGAAAGTTTTCTTTCCTGTAAGGTAGAGAGAGAAACAAATCTATATATATGTATATACATGAACACACGCACACACATACACACATTTATATACACACATAGTATATATGAAGTTCAGTAGAATTTGCTATTGAAAAAATTATCAGAATAGGTGCATTAAACTTGATAGGGTTTGTAAAATTTATAGAGGCATCCCCTTCAAGGCCTGATGTGAGTTATGAAATCTAATTTTGTTTTCATAGCTCTGTGATAAAATTTTATCAATGTTATAAAAGGGGTCTTTACTAAGACTGACCGGAAATCTGAACTATCTGGCCAGGCAATAAAAACACATTCCTTAGCAGCAAAGTGTCAGACAAGCAAGGTTTAACTAAAATTGATCGATAAGTCTTCCTTTTACAGTTGAGTGCATTCAATTTACCTCATAGGATAATAGTTTTTTTTTTAATGGTTTTTCCATTAATATCAGACATCAGTGTTAGTAAGGAACAAGAAAGACATAAAAGAGAGAGGCATGTCATCAAGAAAGAATGTTGCAATCTTTAATGGTAGGGCACTTGTGCTATGAAGAAGGCTTGTGTGGGTGAGGTTTGGGGATTTTTGTTACTGATTATTATGGGTTGAATTGCATTCCCCCAAAATTCACATGTCAAAATCCTAACCCCCAGCACCTCAGGATGTGATCTTATTTGGAAATAAGATCATTGCAGATGTAATTAGGTAAGATGAAGTCACACTAGACTAGGGTGGGCCCCTAATCCAGTATCACTGATGTCCTTACAACAATGGGAAAATTTGGACCCAAGGACACAGGAAGAATGTCACATAAATATGAAGGCAGGGATTGAGGTGATGCTTCTACAACCCAAGAAATGTCAAAAGATTGCCAGCTTTTCTTAGTCTATTCAGGTTTCTATCATGAAATAACATAGACTGGGTAGCTTAGAAAAAATACAAATTTATTTCTCACTGTTCTGGAGGCTGGGAAGTCTATGATCAAGGTGTCGGCAGATTTGGTGTCTAGTGAGGGCTTGCTTCCTGTTTCATATGGTGCCTGGTTCCAATGGTGCCTTCTTGCTGTGTCCCCACATAGTGGAAGAGGCATGGCAGCTCTCTTGGGCTTATTTTATAAGGGCACTAATTCCATTCATGAGGCTACTGCCCTCATGACTTAATTAGCCCCTAAGGGTCCCAGCTCTTACTACTATTACATTGAGGATTGGGTTTCAACATATGAATTTTGGAGGGACACAAATTTTCAGTCCACAGCACCAGCAAATCATCAGAAACTAAGGAGAGGAATGGCACAGATTCTTCCTCATAGCCCTCAGAAGGAATCAGTGCTGCCAACACCTTGATCTTGGACTTCCAGCCTTCAGAACTGTGAGACAACACACTTTTGTTGTTTAAGCTACCCCTCTTGTGGTACTTAATTATGGCACCTACTGTGGTCTGAATATGACTTCCAAAAGTCATGTTCTGTAAACTGACTCCCCAATGCAACAACGTTGGGAAGTGGGGCATTTTGAGAGGTATTTGGGTCATGAGGGATTTACCCTCATAAATGGATTAATGCTGCTATAAAAAGGGCATGTGGGAGTGGGTTTGCTTTCTCTTGCCCTTCCACTTTCTGCCCTGTGGGGAAGCAGTAAGAAGACCCTCACCATACACCAGTGCCTTGATTGTGATCTTGGACTTCCCAGCCTCCAGAAATGTGAGAAATAGATTTCTGTTCTCACACCTTGGGTTGGGCATCCAAATGTAGCTTACCTTGCCTAACTCAGTTGTCATCAGGAAAGTCATCCAAATAAGCGGCAACTAAACCATAAAAATGATCACTTCAAGGCATCTAGTGAACTCATTTTCAGAATTACCAAGACCACATCTAACATTTCTATTGCACTGAAAACTTACAAGGGGTTTCTAGGGAACCTAAATGGAAAAAGCAGGCTTTGAGGTTAGGCAGATTTGGGTATAAATCCCAGTTCTGCCACTTATTGGCTGGTGCCTTTAGCAAAGATATTTCACTTCTTGAAAGCCCAGCTTTCCCGTCTGTAAAATGTAAAAGTAGTAGAAGAAATATCTACTTCGTAGGGTGGTTGTGAATACTGAATGAGACAGACAACATTTATGTAAAAGTCCATTATGGTGCCCGGTACAGGTAGACACTCTAAAAATGTTAGTGCCCTTCTCTTCCTGTGTTGATGATCTCATTTGAGTCTTATGCCAAGAAACTTTCCCAAGACTGCAGGAAGGTAAGACTCAAGTCAGGCCTTTGTCTCCAAGTCCAGGAATCTTTCCCTGGAAGGAGTGACCTCCAGACCTTGGCTACCACAAAGTCATGCTATGACCTCCCTCTGTTGCTCTGGTGAGATTTAAATTGGGCTTCTGAAGGTGAAGGTGACCCCATATGCAGATCCTGGTGAGCACCTGTAGAAAGGACCTACTAAGCAGATGAACTTCCAGGAATCAGCTGGAAGAGAGAGAGAGGAAAAAATAAAATCATATCTTCCTAATCATATCACTGAATTAGAATCAGACTTTTAAAGCTGGGTGCAACTTTAGAGGAATCTGCTCTTTTCATTTTCTAGAAGAGGATGTAGCAGCTTATATGGTCCCTCGGCCAGTCAGCATCAAGTTGGATGATCTCATGAGTCCCAGCCCAATATTCCTTCCATTCTAATTAGTGTCCTGAATACCCACAATGTCAGCTCAAGAATGGAAGAACCAGAATAGATCCAAAGATATGTAAAATAGTCTCAGAATAAGCCTTTGTCATTGAAGAGAAATGTGGCTTTAGTGGAATCAAGATGCTTCCTAACTCTGATTCTTACACCAAGACAAGGTGAAGGTGGATTTCAAAATGGTGCTATAACTGCAATTTAGTAGAGGGGGAGGGGTGCATCCATGCTCTTTCATACCTGCTTTTTTTTTTTTTTTTTTTTTTTTTTGATATGGAGTCTTACTCTGTTGCCCAGGCTGGAGTGTAGTGGTGTGATCTCGGCTCACTGCAGCCTCCGCCTCCCGGGTTCCAGAGATTCTCCTGCCTCAGCCTCTCAAGTAGCTGGGATTACAAGTGCCCACCACCACACGTGGTTAATTTTTGTATTTTTAGTAGAGATGGGGTTTCACCATGTTGGCCAGGCTGGTCTTGAACTCCTGACCTCAGGTGATCCACCCACCTCGGCCTCCCAAAGTGCTAGGATTACAGGCATGAGCCACCACGCCCAGCCCATACCTGCTCTATAGAGAGGGTGAAGTTTGCTCATCTGGGCCTGCAGCACCCAGGAGCTCCTGAAAGAGCTCATGGCAGTTTCAGAGTAGACAGAGGATGTGAGAAGCAGTGACTCTTGTTTGGAAATCTTCTAAATTGGCTGACTCCCATTTACATGCTGTTTCTGGCAGCAGAGATCAGTCTGGGTCACCTCTATGCTGCTGAGTAAATATGCTCAAAATTATTACTATTTCAGACAAATGTTTAACTGTTCTCAGATTATCTATAACACCCCAGGCCAAAGTCACAGCAATCTAACCTGGGAGTGAGTTTACTTTACTTTGTGATTTATGGAATGAGAATTCTGGGTGCTCTGTGGGACTAATTTAATACGAAACATTCAGATGTCTGTCTTATAATGCCATTCATCTTTCCTTAGCCTGCCTGCACCAGGGAGCATGTGGTTCAGAGAGCAGCCTCTCCCTTCTCAGCCACAAATCATCACGCTTGTGAAAGGGGGTGACAAGTCTTCCCTTCTAAGCCAGGCTGCCTGCAACAGAGGGTCTGTCTGGTCTCTGATGGAAGAAAAGTGTTTTCCACTCTTTCAGGCTGTTGGAGTGTTTTGAAAGGTACAGTTGGCAAAGTAGGATTCCTAGTCAACATTGCTTTGGTTTGCCTTTTGGTAAAGGGAATTTAGTCAGTCTATACTGTCTTATCAACAGGTGCAGATTTGTTTTATAAGAAGGCAATGTGATGTTCTATGGATTGACATAATGCACGTGAGAAGAAAGTTCTACAAAAAGCTAAACTCTGATTCAGTGTAGTACTTACATTTGAAAAGCAGATATTTCAATGCATGGCTAAAAAGGAACAAAAATAAAACTTTTTAAACCAACAAGTTACCCTAAATCTCACATTCATCCAACAAATATTCATGAACGCCTGCTATGTAGTAAGGGCTATTCAGGCACTGGGAACACAATTCTGAACACCCTACTTTCATGGAGTTTGCAGACCAGTGAGAGAAAGGGCATGTCCACAGTGGTAAGTCCTACAAGGGTGAGCAACAGGTACAGGGGGAGCACATGGAAGGAAGTTCCCCACACAGTCATATAAAATGACATGAGAAAGCTGCAGGAAGAAAATGTGCAAAATCATGGAAGTAAGAGAGAATATACAATCTTGGGGAATGGGGAAAAGTTTAGCATGGGTGGAGTGCAGAACTCTGTGAACAAAGGGCTGAGAACCCAGACTTCAGAGCCAGGGGACCTCCGGATTCCAAAGGCCTTTGGGCACAGGGGAGCGAGTTTGTCCTGCATTTTGATGGCAACAGAGGGCCACTTAAGCTCTTTAAGTGAGGAAGTGACATGATATGATTCTTATTCTAGAAAGATCATTCTGGCTACAACTTTGACAAAGAATTCGATAGAAGCAAGGCTCTGGGGGTGGGGGTGTGTGCAGTGACTAGTTGGAAAATCAGTGTTATTATACCAGTGAGTGATGGCAGTGGTCTGAAGTCAGATAGGGTAAGTAAACAACTTTGAAGTACTTACAAAATCCTATAAATGCATCCCATTTTACTCATATTAACAGTTGTATGTTTGTGCAAATGGAAATCAACCTCTGCCATCAAGTCATTTCCTGAGTGAGGCAGAGTCCTGTTGACCCTGGTATGTGCTGTTGCTGCGGTGCCTGTATTGCTGGTGAAAACTCCCTGAGACACCTCTTGAAGACACAGCTTTGGTTAAATGTATAGATGTGGCCCATATCAACCTTCCCATGGGAGCTGGGTGTTATCTAATGGATAACACTGCTCCATGGGTGTCCTAGAGAATAACGACTATTTCCAACTCAAAGCACAGCAGACCACTGTCACACCCAGTGAACAGAACTCATATTTTAACATTAGGAAAGCTGTTGGCAAGTCTGGCCTTTGAGAGTGAGGTAGTAGGAAACAAAGTCATAAAAATAAAAATTCACAATGGGATTTATCCTATCAAAATGACTACATTAAACGAGAGGCAAGGAAAGGTCTGACAAAAAGGGTTTGACACTGGAATTGATTTGAAAAAATTTCCTGAATGCCAATCAGAGTGTCTTGAGTTTTGCCAGTCTCTGCAACATCCACTTCTTTAGACAGACTTGATTATGTTCAGAAGTGTTACTTAAGATCTCAAATGGTATTCATCCTGATATTGTAATCAAAGTCACAGATTCTAACCTCAATTTTGTGTCAGCTGCTTAGAAAATAACATCAAGGTCACCCCACCAAAGTCAGTTTTAAGTGTATACCCAAGGGCAAGCCTCTCACTGACTGATTAGGAATAGTGACAGCCTAGCTGATTCTATTGCTAATTTCATTCCTCAGTAGTGAAGGGAGAAAAGAACCAAAACAATGGCAGAAATACATGTCTATACTAACAATGCCATGTCCACAGCTTCCTGAGGAAAGATCAGTCTACACTGTTCCTTACGTAGGGAAACTGTGCTTTGCATCATGTGTCCCTGACATCCTAATCTAAAGGAATGAGTAGAAGCCATCCATTCAACCTTCTGTTAGAAGACACAAAGAAAGTAGTTCAGATGGTACAGTGACCCTGAAGCCAAAATAAATATAAAGAGAAGGCAGGAAAAAATATAAACAGAAGCCGTTAAGCAACAGAAGCCATGAGTAGGTAGGTGCCATATCTTAGTGTACAACAGAAGAGCCCTCGGATAAGTAGAAAATTCACATGAGGACCAAGCACAGAGAAACAGGGAAGTCAAGAGCAGGAATGGCAGACTACTGGGGTGGCCACTGGGACCCAGACAGGCATGCGTCTTGAACAGAGGCCACCACGAAGCCTGTTTTCTGGGCTTTCCTGTGCTTCCTCTCTTCCTTGTTAATCCTCCCAACAAACCTCCATCACCAGAGGTAAACTGAGTGAGTCTCTGTAACTTGTAACTTGAACAAGCCTAACTTAATACACAATGTCTAGTCCAACATTCACATTTGTTCTCTTTACTGGCTTCCCACTGCACTATCTATCTATCTATCTCCCTCTCTATCTATCTTTTTATATAGCACTGATATTATTCCAGCTTGATATATATATCAAGCACTGATATTATTTCTGTGACCTTTAAAATAGCAAGATTTTATCAGCACTGAAGGTAGTTTAATTAACATGGAGAGCTTCAGTACCTCAAACCCACTTGTTTCGCCTTCCAATATCTGGGTCCTAGTTATAATCTCTGGGTGGTTAGTTCTGACTCAATAACATTTCCATTATTTCTAAGGGAATTATAGTGATAAAACATGAGTACACTTAGTGTATTAAGTACACTTAGACACACATATACATATGTATACATATATATACACATATATATACACACATATATGTACACATATATACATACACACACACATACATATATATACATTGCAGTGGGAAGCCAGTAAGAACTAATGTGAATGTTGGACTAGACATTGTGTATTACATTAAGCTTGTTCAAGTTATATATATAAAGTGCACTTATATATATATATAATCTCCCAACTCCTTAGCACTACGTACAAGGCCCTCATAATCAGGCCCATGCATGCCCCTTCAAGCTCATCTTGTGCCTGTTAGTCCAACATTCTAGGCCTAGCCAAGCAGTCATAACTATTGCATGCACCTTTGCATGCCCAGCAACTAAAACAGTCCTAGTGCCATTTTTTGTTGTTGTTGTTTTGTTTTGTTTTTTGTGAATTAGTTCTTTTAAGAAAAGTAGCCATGAAGTACTTGAAATACAGCTAGTCTGAATTGAGATGTGCTGTAAGTGTAAAATACACACAGGATATGGAGACCTTAGAACAGTAACAAAGAAATATGCCTCAATAATTTTACATTGATGATATGTTGAAATGCTAATACTTTGGATATATTGAGTTGAATAAAATATGGTATGAAAATGTATTTCACACATTTCTTTTAACTTTTCTAAAAATGTGGCTACTAGAAAATTTCAAATTACTCATGTGGCTCCTGTGATCTTTCTGTTGGACAGTGGCTACTTTGGACCTTCCTTTGGTAGCTTGAGCATGCCACGCTCTTTCCTGATTCTCACCTCTGCCTGGTACTCCGTTCCCTACGACAACCCTCATTCTGCTTCTTTCCATTTGCAATGGCTGATTCATTCTTGTCTTTTAGCTTAACTCACTTCCTTATATAAGGCTTTAAACATGCCGTTCATTAAGTATGTCACCCCTACCTCCCCTCCAGTAATTCTCTAACTGAACTTGGTTTCCTTCATAAGACTTAACACAATGTGTAACTATTTATTGCACATAATTATTTTATTTGGGTATTTAACTTCTAAATGCCTCTCCTCCCCAGCACACAGCATGAGCCCCACGGGGACAGGGATCACATCTGTCACATTCACCTCTGCATGCCCAGCACCTAGAACAGTGAGTGCAGTGACTGCCTGAATATATATATATATAAATATATATTTTTCATGTATATATATATTCATGCATATACCATGTATATACAAGCTGGTCTCTCTCTCTCTCTGTCTCTCTCTCTGTCTCTCTCTGTCTCTCTCTCTCTCTCTCTATCTTCTGCATATATATACACACGCACAGTTTTAACATTGGGAAAGCTGTTAGCTGGGCTAGCTTAGAGGGTGGGGTAGTAGAAGATAGAGTAATAAAAATCAAAATCCACAATGGGATTTATCCTATCAAAATGACTACACTAAACAAGAGGCAAGGAAAAATTTAAACTTTTATATTTGTATATAAAAATGTATAAATATATAAAAATGTGTGTGTATATACATATATATATATATATATATAGAGAGAGAGAGAGAGAGAGAGAACAAACTGGTATATACATGAATTAAGTGTTAGAAAAACTAATTTTCTTTGTATTCTCTGTTTTCCAAGGAAAGTGTCTGTCTTCCAAGGAGAGTGTCTGTCTCTCAAGCTATATGGATTTCATTGGTCTGGCAAGAGAACTATCTTGAAAATTCATTTTTCTAAGAGAATTTGTTACCGAACTGAAATAACGTCCTGTGGATTTTCACACTCTTGGGTGAGCCTGCCAGGGATGCAGGTGCTCACACTTCCTTGCTAACTAGACTTAGGGCAAACAGAAAAGAGATGTTCAAGTAGCTCCTTCACAGGAGAAAGAGCAATGATGGAAAATAGAAATCCTCTCCTTGTTCCAAAGCTCTCCTTCTTTGTACATATAAAAATGTATAAGAAAACTCCAGGAAGCTGGTTATTTTCCCCACCCTCAAAAGTACTCCGCTCCCTGATATATGTACCACAGCACTGATATTATTCCTGTGACCTTTAAAATAGCAAGATTTTATCAGCACTGAAGGCAGCTTAATGAACATGGAAAGCTTCAGCACCTCAAACTCACTTGTTTAGCCTTCCAATGTCTGGGTCCTAGTTAAAATCTCTGGGTGGTTATATCTGACTCAAGAACATTTCCATCATTTCTTAAGGGAACTGTGATGAGAAAACATGAGGCTACTTAGACTCAAATACTCACATACAAAGCAAATGTTTCATTGTCTTCATAGCCCCTGAATACAGGCTTTGTTCTTAAAACTGGTACTTACCACTTGGGCCATGCCCTGCTGATAATAAACAGCACTGTCCCTGGCAGGCCTAAAACTCTTGGCAAAGTTTCTTACACTGTGGTCACGACGTGCTTCTTCCCAGGTGCTTGTTAAAATGCAGATTCCTTATACCTTAGGCATAGAGATTATGACCAGTGCTGGGACCAAGCCTGGAAATCTGTATTTTATCTAGCACACCAGGTGTTTCTTGTGCACACTCAAATTTGAGAATCATATTAAGGAAGTATCTCTTGCCAATACACAAATTGTTCCAGGAAACAGTTTTTTCTTTTTAAATGAAAGATGGGATTTAAAGACTCTTAGAGGAGAAAAGCCAGGAAGACGGGAAAAGGCCAAGAGGCAGGGAGGAAGAGGGAGGAGGGAAGAGGGAGAAAAAGTAATGGAAATGAGAACAGAGATATAATCAGATTTTAGATTTTTAGAGGCACTAACCTAGGAGCCCTGGGAAGTTCCCTCCTCTCCTCCACCTCTCTCCAGCATAGTCACTGAGTAAAGGACAGTGCCCTTCAGGAAATTTCCTTTAAAACACAGCTTCCAGTGGTGGCACCAGAGATGACCACCGAACTGCCTCAGCTGGTCTCACACAGCTGACATTCCTGAGCATGTGCACCTGAGCTAAAACCCTAATATCAGTTTCCTACATTGAAATTACTGCTCTAGGACTGGCAAGCTAGGACCTGATAGGTCCAACAGCTCGACTGAAGCTTGTATCTGCCTGCAAGCCCACAGAGGGATACCACAGACAATGAGCAATAGCACATCCAATTCAGAATCACCATTTTACTTGCCATAGATATAGAATTTCTCGTCTCCTTTCTTCCTCTCTCCTTCAACCCAGTTGCACTATGGGCATATGTATTTCCTCTCTCATATATTTCTATTTATACATTTGGTACAGGGTGACAGCCTTGATAGTAGTTTCATATTCCAGACTCGTAGAATTAGAAAATGTTATAGCTGCCAGCAGGCACCCACTGAATACCTACGGTTACACGGTCAGTCCATTTATTTTCATCAGCTTTCTCCTGAGTGGTCTTTGTTGATCTTGCTTTGTAGTTGCTTATGGCCACACAGCCCCAAACCATGCCATTTATGCAGAATTCTAATTTACTGTGTCGAGAACAAAACTGTTACTCTTTCATTCTACTTACCTAGCCTCGTAGAGGGGACACGGGGTTGAGATATTTTCAAAGCCAGGAGGGAACCAGAACCAGCGGTTCAATAGAAACAACTGAGAGTCACCACTGAGTCTAAATTTCCCATAACTGGGGACATTTGCATCTGATTTTGTGATGTACTAGAATAACGCAGATTTGTGTGTTTTGATCATTCGCTTCCAAATGACGCAGATTTGTGTGTTTTGATCATTCGCTTCCAAATGATGCAAAAAAAAAAAATGCTGCCATGGTGAATCACAAATCTCTCAATGGCACTCAGCACACCTGGGCTATTATTGAAGGTTAGCTCACAAATGCTTCAACAGCCACGAGCCACAATTTCTAAGTGAGTCTCTGACAAAAGAGAATATATTTATATTTATCCTTCTGCTGTCATTTGTTTGATTGTTGCTTTGTTTTCTTAATTAGGGAAACAATATTTAATTATGATAAACAATCAAGGAAAAAAACAGAGATTTAGGGTTATTGCCCTTCAAAGCTACCTTTGCATTTTGAATCATTACTAATATATCCTGTTTTACAAAGCTGACATAAGCATCCAGATAAAATGCTTCTTATTTATAAATACTGTTAGTTATTCTCAGAAAGACTGCCAGACTTTCAGGCATATTGCTTTTAGTTTACTTGCTTAGAAACATTGCAACTTTACCCTAACACTTAATCAGATTACGAAAGCTAGAGCGATGGGCAGAAAAATTCAGTTCTCCTGAGGAAAATCCCAAATGCTTCTACACTGTTGATTAACATCTGGATCACCTTAAGGGTGTTTGTGAACTATCAGGAAATAAATTTTTGGAGTAGGCCATGGACTTAGGGATGGTTGCTTTAGTATTTAATAATAAATTGTTTTCAGTTGATAGAAAAATACTGAAATCTGACTTACATATATGAGGCTGATTCAAATTTGATAAACATGTTCCCAAAGGAAATTACTGCATTTATTAAAAGCCTAGATGGCTGAACAGATTTGCAATGGTCTTATCCTATATTCCTTGCTGAAGGTAGAGAAACTGTTCCCCAGTCCACCTTGCAGCCAACCAAAGAGGAAGGTCAAGAGTAAGGAAAGAGCAGGGCTGTTTTTAGTCTAAGCTAAAAGTGGCTATGAACTACCAAGATACCCAGGGCTAGCTGTCATCTACAAAGTAAGTGTCGCTGCCTTGCTGGTAAAATGTGATGTGTTGATGACTGTTACATTACATCTAAAATCCCATTTACTAGTAATAGAAAAGTTCAGTTAAGACTTTTGCCTTATGTCTCCTGATGCTTGATACAGCGTTGTGTGATATTACCAATTTTCGCTTCAGGCGTATTCACATGCAACAGTGATGACTTCACAAGAATTTGCACATTTGATCCAGGGTGAAATTATGCCATTTTCATAGCAAATCAACTTTTCCCTGGCAGGAAAGTGATAGGTACTTTTGCACCTAGAGAGATGTCTTTGTTTTCAAGGAATGAAAACAAAAAATTGTCTATAGAAGGATTGTGATTGAGTCATTCTAGGGAGAGGCCCAGTTGGCAAGAGTCCTCTTGGCTCCCTTTCCAACGGGGAGCAAGTTTCTTAACCCTTCTTGTTTTGACTTTCTTGCTTAAAAAAAAAAAGAAAAGGCAAAACAGAAGTCACATGCAATCTTTTTCTCCTATATGGCACACAGATGCATTGGAATACCTTCACATCTCTAACATCACACAACACATAGAGAAAATGTCTGTAAAAGGGCAAATTGCTGTTGATGTAACATGTGAAATTTCACCTCAATGTGCTTTGCTTTTAGTGGTGTCAGAGGCAGCAGGAATTTATTCATGCAGCCCTACTGATTTGCAGACTGGGAGTAAATACTAGGCCTTTTGCAGCGATTACCAAGAGCCCCCTTCAGTAGAAATGATATACTGCCTTCCTGCATCACATTAAAGTGGAGGATTGAGAAGTGAACCCAGCTGAGCCATTCTGTACACACCTAGCCAGAGTACAATTTATATTCATACAGAGTTGTGAGTGGTTTTCAGAGGAACACTGGGAAGAAGAGCATTTCTCTGGAAATTTTTCACCAAAAGCAGAAACTAAACTCTGATTTGTAACTGCTATTTTTTTAATGGTTCTGTCTTCTTCTTGTAAATTCTTCCCTACCTGTAGGATTAATACCTAAGATTGCTAGGGATCTCCCTTGATTTCTTTTCAAAAAATAAACCTTCCATAATTTTTCTTTTAAATAGTGCATATATCCTTTCCCTAAGTTTTTGAATTGAGGACACAGTCTATGACTTTTGATCACTGGGCACATATTGGGAATTGCCAAGCTTTACTCTCATGAACAGAATCTAACTGTACCCCATAAAAGGTCCTGCACTGTTACTACAGGTGAAACTGATGAGAAATTGAAGAAGAAAGCATTGATTTGTGTGGCATTTGGTGGCCACCAGCCATTTCATTTGTATTCAGTATATTAAGGATTTTAATACAGAGGTTTGGAAAATATCGTGGCTGAGCCAGAAAATGTCAGCTAGGGTCAAATTTAGTGTCTAGTGGTCAGAGTCTTTTTGTATTATCAAAACATTCCATATATGGAATATATTTTCTATTCCATATATGGAATGTTTGATGGAATGTTCGATTATATATAAAAAGTATTTTACATAAGCTATTTGATCCTGTGAAATTATATTTCACTAATGACTAGTAGTTTCCTTCTTTTCTTGGAAGAAAATCCACCGAAGATAGTTATTTTGCTGGCATTATTTTGTCTAGTTTTGTTGCCTTTCCAGGAACAAACTTGAGGCATCAAATGTCACTTTATGTAAAATGCGGAGGGTAATAACCTTCAAAAAAGATCGCTGGGTGCAGTGGCTCATGCCTACAATCCCAGCACTTTGTGATGTCGAGGTGGGAGGATTGCTTGAGCTCAGGAGTTCAAGACCAGCCTGGGCAACAAGGCAAAACCCCATCTCTAAAAAAAATATAAATATTAGCTGGGTGTAGTGGTGCATGACTGTAGTCCCATTTACTTGGGAGGCTGAGATGGGAGGATCACGTGAGCCCCGGGAGGTCAAGGCTGCAGTAAGCTGTGATTGTGCCACTACACTCCAGCCTGGGTGACAGAGCAAGAACCTGTCTCAGAAAAGAAAGAGGGGGGAACTGCATGAAAATAAAAGAGATAAATAATCATAATGTCATAACAAACATGAGTATGTGCACATAGCTATACCAGAAAAATACAGCAGAAAATCCGATGGTTCTGATAGGAGTTAATTGTGGAGATGTGCCAGAGACAGCAGCTTCGTGGATGGTGACACCACAATGTCTGTGGCTTGAGGGCCCTGCTGCCTTCGGATTCTGGCATAATTTGCTCTGATCTCCATCAGTTGTTTTAACTCTGTTAAAAAAAAAAAAAAAAGAAGTTGAGAGACAAGTCAATGTTATAGAAAATAATTAAAAGTCCAGGATGATGAAAAACTTGAAGACCCCTCACAAATCCTTGGCTCCCACCCTGGGCTCTCTCATTACAACTTTGACTTCTTATCACATGAGATATATTGTTAATAGTCTTTGGATTGCTAGAGAATGGAAGTTGCTAGAGAGGACTTCTTTCCAGGTTTATTACAAAGCCTGAATTGGAAGCTAACCTAGGGCTGGTCTAAAAATTGCACCCACTGAAAAGACAGAAAGCAGCAGTGAGAACAGTGTTCAGATTTTATGGCAAATGGCATAAAACACTCTTTTAATTTTGTCAGGGGTTTGTGTGAAAGAAGCCATTCTAATAGCTTCTGGTTTGTTTTGCAAAATCCAATTGATTTTTTAAAAAACCCGAAGTGATTCTTTGATGAATTTCACATACTAAATGTTTTTTGATATTATAATGCATAAAATAAGTTATCATAGAGTGCTTTTGAAACTCCCAGACTGCTTTATTTTCTTCCTACATACTTAAGCCAGTAGGTCACAGAAACAGCATGAGTGGAATGATTAAGTAAATGTCCCTTAATGGGTATAGGCATGTAGTTGCATTTCTATCTTTTCTTTTTTAAAGCATTCTGAATATTTAGATTTCTAATAAATGAGTATTACTTACTTAATGGCAACAATAAAATAAGTTTCTAAAGAACGACTAAATCAGACTTTCTGCGATCAGAGATTTCCTGTATCCTGGAACATATATAGCTCATTGGAAAGAACTGAGACAATAGGAGGAAACCACTAATCCTTTCACCATGAAGGTAACATGGGGAACCTATTGTCATAGGAAAGAAATAAACTTTCATACGATGGTAATCTATGTATTTATAAAATTGAAGATGCAAAAATGAACATTTGTCTCCATAGCTTTATCAAAGATACACAGAGCTAACATGGAGGAAAATGGTAGAAAGAGCAATATTTGCATTTCCAATATTTTTTCTCTTCCAGTCACAGTTTTTATTGTTGACAAGCTTGTTTCTGGGAAGGCAGCCAACATCTCTCTTTGTCGTTGGATACCCTTTTGGCTAGCTTGCCTGAAGCATATTTAGCTTTATTTATCACACAGGCTCAACGGACACAATACTGCAAGAAAGGTGTGGTACAGGCAACAGAAACCCATCCCAGGAATATCGAAGACTAAGCCTAGATAATGAAGGGACTGGGAAGGTACCTCCTACTGCACACGTTTGCTCACTATTCGATTGTATTGTAATTATTTCACGTGTGTTCATATTTTTAATTAGATTGAAAACTCTCAGAAAAGGAGCCTAGCTTATGTTTATTTTATAACCTACAAACTGGGGATACAGAAAGCTATTGACTAATACTTACTGATAATAAGAACCTCATCATTCGTGTGTTCTTCTAAGTACCCATGTAGTGAGGGTCACCAAGAGCCAGGGTGAAGGGTAGTGATGGGTGATGGGAACAGCAGAAAACAAAGAATAAAAGGACTGGCACCTCATCCATAATGTAGGATGGTGCAGGAGGAATATTTGTGGCTTCCCTCAGAACAGTGCTAGGCATCCTAATAAATCCCGTCTCCCTACTTTTTGGTCTCCATTTCTATCCTTTTGTCCCTTCTGGGCTAAATGTAAAGATAGAATTGCAACTGTTTTAGAAGTTTTTGGTTTGCCTACATTACATACAACATAGTAATAATAATTTTATGGTGACTTCTTAAAAGAAAATATCTACTATTACCAACATAGGGATGCCAGGCAATTCATTACCTAATCTTTTAGTTTCCTTTAGAGTGATAACAGTGTTCTTCGGAATCTCCTGAAAATTATATCTTTGCTAATATATACCTACCTACAAATACTGGCTTTAACTTCATCAGGATATATAGGATAAAGAACTAGAGTTCATTCAATAACAAATATATGTCCTTTTCAATTTCTGTCATTTATCAAAGAAAATGACCAACGAATAGACAAGATAATAACTCTAGAAAATATTTACTTATTACTAAAGAAAAGAAACTGCAAACCACATAATTACTATTAATAAAACATTAAGTTTTAAGTAATTTGAAAAATAGGAAATTAGTGGAGCTTCACTTTCCTCAGGGTTCATACTAGGGGAATACCTTCAAATGAGGCTCTCAGTATTTCTGCAAATAAGCCCCCTGGATAAGGTTCAAGATTAACTGAAATGCGATTGAATTCTCCAGAGCAAACAGTGTTAACACGAGGTTCCAGCACATAAATATATAAATTTAACTTCCATAACATGGAGTAGAAATGCTTGGGAGGGGATAATTATTAAAAATCATTGTGATGGGATATAAGCTCTTCCAAGAGAAGATTGAATGCTTTAATTCTTCAAAGACTTGATGGAAAAGAAACTATCATGCATACCTTTTGGGGTTTTGAAACCATGTCCCATAGACACACAGATGACCATATCTCGCTCTATGTCGTCCCAGGACTGAATTGGCTCTCCACTGGGGGTGTACAGTGCTCTAGCTGGGTGGGTCATTTTGAGACGAGAGGAGCAGTCTTGCAGCAGCTGAGACACAGAGGGACAGCCACATTTGAATACGGAATGGCACAATATGATCATGTATCAAAGAACCAACTCTTCTGAGAAAACTATTATCCCAGTTTGATTATTTGCCCACTGATAGTTGTTAGACATTCGTATAGAAGAGATGGGAAGAAGGGCATGCAAATGTTCCCTAAAGTGCTTAAACAGTGAGGAGCTTCAGGACTCTCCGGTGAAGCTTACCTTGTAGTTCCGTATTTTTTCATGGAATAAGGCTTCTCGCTATTTAAGAAATTCCTAAATATGATAAAAACTGGATTGAAAATCTAGACTTCTCAAATTAGCTAAAAACAATTTTTTTTAGTGACCAAGGAACTTGAATGACAAAAGGTGAGGAGACCCAGGCTCTGGCCTCTTTGTTACTTCAGACAGGTAACTTTGCTTCAAAAGAGTCTCCTCAATGATAAAATGAAAATTTTGGTCTAAGACTTCACTGGCTCTATGATTCTATAGTTAAAAAGTCTTTTGTTTTCAACTGATACATTTTAAAGCTTCCTAGAGAGGCCTTATTAAACTTCTCTCAATTTATCTTGAATACTTACTCACAAAATCACATGTAGAGATACAGTGTCAATGGTACTAGAAAGATTAGTCAACATGCTGCCAGACCCTTGAAGGCAATTCCATTAAAATGTGAATAAAACTTTAAGACAAAATAATAAAAGCAAGCAGGAAGAAAGTGAGAGGTTTCTACATACCTGCCTGTATGGCTTTCACCTATTAGAGGGCCAAAAGCCTGTTCCCCCAAAATGCAGGTGCCAAGTCCACATCAGCCCTCCAAATCACCATCAATACTTCTGTTTATAGATCTGTTTAGATGCTACAACTCACAACAAGGCAGAATGGCAGGGGTCAGGGCTGGGCATGTGATGACACCTTGCATCTGGCAAATGCATCAGGAATATGAGCCAAGACAAGAAGAGTGATGGGGCGATGCAGTTCAAAAAGCGCAGCTTTTCACCCAGTATTTTGAGTAAGGGATGAGTGGATTGAATTTAATAATAATTCAAATTATCCAAAAATATATTCCCCTCTATAGAATAGGATAGTCAGAGAGGACCAACAGGAGAGTAGTCTTTTTTTAATGTTATCTATTTTTATATATTTTTTTATCATACTTTAAGTTCTAGGGTACATGTGCACAATGTGCAGGTTTGTTACATATGTATACATGTGCCATGTTGGTTAAATGCAGCCCTACTCCTGCCAAATACCATCCAGTCAGAAGCAATTTGATTAAATACTCTGCATACAAACCAATCCTTCAACCTACCATTGAGGGAGGATTCTGACAGCTCCCAAGTAGATGTCTAGGGTCACCAAAGAGAACTAACCTATTCTGTCTGTTATCAAAAGATCTCTCCTTGTACAAGGAAATATAAATAGAAAAATCAACAATAGCAACAATGTAAAGCTAATGAAAATATTCTACAACATAAAAAAAGGGTACATTGTACTCAAGGTGAAGATTTTGAAAAAGATTTACAGCAGGAGTACATTTTCAAAAGTATCTGTGTTGTGTTACCCCTAAATTCAAAAAATATGACTTCTGTGTGTAAATATACTCACAGATACACACAGAAACGAGACAACCACAGCTTAAAGGAAAGGAGTATTGCTCAGATACAGGAGAGATGCTGAGGCTGCTGATAACAGTAATACTGATTAAAACATATTGACACATTTCTAGGGACTGGGTATTTTTCTAAAAGTTCTCAAGAACAATCTAATTTTGTTCTGTGGAAATAATTAGTATCCACCTTTTGTTGATGAGAAAAATGGAGAACAAAGAGGTTAAATATAATAACCAAAGTTGTATAGCTGCTAGTGAGAGAAGAAATAGGGTTTCAAGTGAGGATGAAGAGAGAGCTGAATGACAAGAGGAGAGAAGGTAAGAAAGAAAAAAGACTCAATATTACAGAAATTCAAATCATTATTAGGGCAGACTAGGTGGAGAAGATCTCACAGGATACAGAAAAAGGAAAAGAGACAAAGTGTATGAGAGAGAAAAGTCAAACATTTATAATGTCAAGACATCAGATATTAAACCTATACATTATTGGTGTTACTGGAGAGGAATCTAGAATACATTAACCTTAAGCAGTTATCAAAAAATAGAAGAAAACTTTCCTGCTCCAAATAAAGATCCATGTCTTCAGATAAAGTAAGCTGACCTAGGATAAGGCAAAGTTTATGAACAATATGACTAAGATTTAAATATTACAAAGCAAAAAGTGTGGATTTCAAGCATGGGAGAAAAATTCAGTTATATTTACACTTCGTTTTCTGTAACACTGAATACCAAAGAAAATGAAGCAAAATCTATGAAGTTATGAAGTTTTTAGGGGAAAAGATTTTAATATAAGAATTCTATATCCAGCCAAGTTACAATTTATGGTTAAAAGAAACAAATGATGTCCTCCAGTATACAAAACCTCAGAAGACATATCACACACAAATATTTCAGATTATTAAGAAATGAATCAAATTTCTTGACTAAGGGAAAGTCATAATATAAAATGACTAATGTTAAGCACTAAGACTATCAGAACATGATACGCCTGCTACAAAAGTAATCAGAAAATAAATGAATTAAAACTTTAAAAATAAGTCTTCATAGAGAAAAAAAATGTGAAACGACCAAAAAAGGAGGTGGGCAAGAAAAAGAAAACCAAAGCATTCTTTCTCATTTTTTTTTTTTTTTGAGACAGGGTCTCACTCTGTCACCTAGGCTGGAGTGCAGTGGCATGATCAGGGTTTGTAATGAAGCCTCGACTTCCCTAGGCTCAGGTGATCCTTCCATCTCAGTCTCCCGAGTATCTGGGACTACAGGCGTGCACCACCATGTCCGGCTAATTTTCGTTTTTGTAGAGACAGGGTTTCACCATGTTGCCCAGGCTGGTCTCAAACTCCTGGGTTCAATCAGTCCCCCCACCTCAGCCTCCCAAAGTGTTGAGATTACAGGCATGGGCCAATATACTCGGCCTTCTTTCTTATCATTCATGAAGATAAAAGATGTTTTCCTCTCTTTTTTTTGTTACGAATTTTTTTTATGATTATAAGCAACGCAATTAAACATAAAATCAGAATAAGAGAAACAGTTCCTTTAAAGGAGTAAGCAAAATCACCATCATGTGAATTTAATACGACTTCATTCTTAGAAAACTTAGGTGAATCAAATGAGAAATTAACAAAAATAAAAGCAAAGTGTCCAAATACAAAATAAATGTTAAAATATTAATAGTTTACCTGTTCACTGAAAATAGGCATTTTGAAAATACAGTGGGAGAAAATCTATCCCCAAAACAAAGATCAACTAGAAATAACAATTATTTAAAAATCTAAGACCCTTGTAAACAAAAAAACTATAAAATTTTGCTGATGGACAAGAAAAAAAGTATACATAAGTCTTTTTTACATATACTAAAATAAGCATATTTTAGTATATGTAAAAAAATACAAAAATAAAAGAATACCACAGCCTAGTTGCAGAAATTGAATAAGGTAAAAGGTGTAAATTCTTAGGAAATTAATTAATAGTCTAATACAACTTCAGTCAAAATCCTATAGGATGATTTTACGATGTTGAACTGTAATTCCAAAATTCATCTTTAAAAATCAACAGGCAAGAATATTCAAGTAAAATCTGACAACAAAGTGCAACAATGAGCAACTTCTTTAAGACATTAAAATATAAATCTATATAATTTAAAAAGTAATACATACTTTACATAACTTAAAAGCAGAAGCTAGTATATGTAAGATTTTAGCATAACATTGGTATTCCAACTCAGAGGGGAGGGAAAAAATATTAGTCAGTGAATAGAGCTGAGATAATTTTAAGCAAACAAATAAAGCAGAGAAAATAGCTTCACTCAAATTTTACACCAGAAAAAGGAAAAAAAAAAGGAAAAGTAAGATAAAAACACAACTGCAAAAAAATTAGATGAAAAAGCAGGTGAATCTTTATATGACCTCAGAATGATAAAGGACTATCTGAACATTAAGAGAAATGAATAAACTTATAAAATGTATTACTTTCTATACATTAAAAAACTCCATAGACACAATAGTAAATTGGAAATTTCTTACAACAAATCTAATAAAGTTACATGTAATACCCTTACTACTTAATAAAATGCTTTTATCAATATGAAAAATATATATAATAGAAAAACAGCAAAAGACTTAGGGAACGCAGAGATAACCAATAAGTGATAACACAAAACAAATCAAATTCACCTCAACAAGTAATTAAAAATATATAAATTGAAATATGGGTATAACATTTTTCTTCTGTCGAACCTGCAAATATGTTTTTAAATTTTGTTGCAGTGCTGTTGATATCTTCATGTATACAACAGGTGGATGGATGAGAATTCTCAATATCTACCTATGGGAGCATAAATTCTTGAAACATTCCTAGAAAACAATTTGGTGACAGGTATCAAAATTCTTAGGCATGTTTATTAACATGACCTAGCAATCCCTCTAGGAATTTACTTAAGGAAAATAATCAGAAAATAAATATAGACTGATGTATCAATATGTTCATTGCAGCACTCTTCATAATAGCAAAAAATTAAGAACAACCAAACTGGCAAATAATAGAAAACTGGTTGAATAAATAATACATCAATTTGATAGAAGGTTATGACGCCGTTGAAAATAATGTTTTTTTAAGAATGTTAAATTATATGGGGAAAAAGTGGCAATAAGTGAACAGACCAACTTGTAAAATTGTATATACGTGTGATCTACTATGATCACAAAGGAAAAAAAAATTATCATTGTTTAGAAATATATACACCAAAATTGTAATAACTAGTTATTTGTGGATGATGTAATTTTCATTTCCTTCTTGGTGCTTTTATCCTTTTTCTAATTTTAATACAATGACTACATGCTGTTTCCTAAATAGAAAACAGAATAAATGTTATTAAGATAATAAAAAAATTCATAGAGATCATTTTCAAAAAGAGATTGCAGTAGATTCATATGGTTTTATTTTATTATTTTTCTAAATTCTCTATAATAATAGTCACTACTTTGGTCTGCTCAGGCTGCCACAAACTGGGTGGCTTAAACAATGAGAATTTATTTCTTGCAGTTCTGGAGTCTGGGAAGTTGAAGATCAAGGTGCCAGCAGATTCAGTTTCTGGTGAGGAATCATTTTCTAACTTGTAGACAGCCATCTCCTTGTTGTGTCCTGATATGGCAGAGAGAAAGAGGTCTCCCTCTCTCTTCCTCTTCTTATAAGGCCATTAATTCTATTGGATTAATGTTCCACCCTTAAGACCTCATTTAACCTTAATTACCAACTAAAAGCCTTATCTCCAAATATAGTCACACTGGGGTTTGTGTCTTCAACATAAATTTTGGGGCACAATTCAATCCATAGCAGTCACTATTTTTTTTTTTCTACTCCAAGGAAACCAAAGGGTATGGCAGTTGAGTTTCTATCTGGAGTGGGAAAAATGAGGAGCTATATAGAGATAGGCATCTGAGAGAAATTTATGTAGTTTGAAAAGATCCCAGAAAGACATATTTCTTATATTTTTCTTTACCACTAAAATGTCACTATTCTATAGAGATCATGTTTTCTACTTACAAACAGAAAAAAATATATAAATAATTTAACTAAAACATACTTTAAAGGCAAAATATAAATTCAATCTATGGTTATTTTACTTGGTTTCTCCTAAGACCTATTTGTATGTAAAGTCAATAAATTTAGGAAAAAAAAATTAAATATGAAAATAAAGCATTTTCTCTGTTGTAACTAATGAAATGCTGTCCCTTGAAGGAGATAATGACATATCATGCATGGAAGAAATAGACTAAGCTCTGGCTGAAGAACGACTTGTATTCATGTTCAATATTTTATCTTCATTCTCTCTGATAATATATTTTCAATGACTTTTTTCCTTTATTTTGGTTAACATTAAAAAGAGATATAAGGCATGACAACAACTCCTTTAAGGGGAAGATAAGATATCTTTCAACTTCTACTTGCGATGCTGTGATGCTTTAGGCACTAAAGCAGGTTAGTAATGCTTTTTTAGTTTTAAATTGGCTTCTTTTAACAGATCAACGTAATGTGTGCTGTGAGATGTATGTAGCCTAACGTTAACTTTGAGGTCTAAAGTGTTCAAGCCAGATTCCTTAGCAGACCAAATATGTTGGCATTGAAGTGTTCTGAAATATACCTTGATGTCTAGAAGTAAGGTATTTGTTAGTCTTCTAGGATCTACTTTTTAAACTTTCCATACCCTGTGGTTGCCAATTCTGCACGTACTAGTCCACTAGAAATAAGTATGTTAAACAGAAGCAACTTAACGTAACTCTCCACAGGGCTTATTTCTCAAAGAAAAGTATTGTTTGGCCAGGTGTGGTGGCTCATACCTGCAATCCCAACACTTTGGGAGGCCAAGGCGGGGGGATCACTTGAGGTCAGGAGTCTGAGACCAACCTGACCAACATGGTGAAACCTCATGTCTACTATAAAGACAAAATTAGCCAAGCATTGTGGTGCAAGCCTGTAGTCCCAGATACTTGGGAGGCAGGAGAATCACTTGAACCCAGAAGGTGGAGGTTGCAGTGAGCTGAGATCATGCCATTGCACTCCAGCCTGGGCAACAAGAGCAAAATTCCGTCAAAAAAAAAAAAGAAAGAAAGAGAGAGAGAGAGAAAGAAAGAAAGAAAGAAAGAAAGAAAGAGAGAGAGAGAGAGAGAGAGAGAAAGAAAGAAAGAAAAAGAAAGAAAGAAAGAAAGAAAGAAAGAAAGAAAGAAAGAAAGAAAGAAAGAAAGAAAGAAAGGGAAAGAAAGAAAGAGAAAGGAAGGAAGAGAGAGAAAGAAAGAGAAACAAGATTGTTTAGAGGAGCAAAATTACAGGCCTACCTACGCATCTTGTAAAGCTGTTCAAAAAGTAACTCAGTGAGGCTTGTGCCTGGAAATGTAATGCCCAAGTCACATTCTGCTCTAAAAGAATGTAACAAATACAGATGAGTTAAAAAGAAAAAAATAGACGTTTTCAGTACAATTAGGTTCTAAGATATCTAGTCATATTATGACCTTTAAAGACAGTCTTAGGCTGGGCACGGTGGCTCACGCCTGTAATCCCAGCACTTTGGGAGGCCGAGGCAGGTGGATCACCTGAGGTCGGGAGTTTGAGACCAGCCTGACCAACATGGAGAAACCCCATCTCTACTAAAAATACAAAATTAGCCAGGTGTGGTGGCACATGCCTGTAATCCCAGCTACTCAGAAGGCTGAGGCAGGAGAATCGCTTGAACCCAGGAGGCGGAGGTTTCAGTGAGCTAAGATAGCGCCATTGCACTCCAGCCTGGGCAACAAAAGTGGAACTCCGTGTCAAAAGGAAACAAACAAAAAACAAAACAAAACAAAAGAGACATTCTTAATTCTGTTTTTCAAATGTATCTAAATTTACTCAAGTATTCTCTTTAAAGTGTATACTATAAATTAAATGTTTTTGCAATAACAAAGTTCATGATGAAGAAACACTGTTCTATAATAATTGCTCACCCACAGTCTATTTTCTGAGTTTTGTTTTCATAGACCAGGTCTCCTCAGGTGGGGCACATGGGCATCATGGAACTATTGCACACTCCCTGTGGGCGTGAGGTACTTGCCTATCCAAATCAGAAGGACCTCTTTTTCATTCCTTGAGCTTCTGCTCATGCATTCAGAACCATTCCTAGGCCAAGGAAGAACACTCTGATTTTGAGATTCTGTAGAATTAGAGAGCTGCTGCAGGAATGGGAGAAGACAAACGCTTCAGGACCATAGAAGGAGGGGCACAGGCAATCATAAATCAGAGAAAGATGCTGGTCCTGCAGAAAGAGCCACTAACCCTGGAGAGAGAGCCGCCTTGGTGCATTGATGACTGATGAGCCGACAACAGTTGGAGATGAGAGTAAGTCTAGCAATGTTCAAAGAGTGGGTGGGAAGAACATGGCTAAATCATCCAGAATAGCCACAGCAGTGAAAGCAGTTGAGAGAAAGTCCACATTGGATGGGATTCAAATACCATCTGGGGGTTTCATTATAGAAGGTATAGAGAAGCACTTTGAAATGTGATCTGTTTCTCATTCTTCCAGCAAAAGTCTCAAACACTGAAACTCTGAGCTTCTTTGGAGTCACTGTCATTAGCCAGACACCCCCAGTGAAATCCAAACCCTACCCTTCCTGCTGCCTGTTCATTTCTCACACACAGTCCATCCTCCAGAGGTATTTTATACAGCCTGACAGCGTGAAAGGATACATTCCTAACTGATGACAAAGAATCGCATGCAAGCCCGTAAAGACAAAAATACACAGCATGGAAAAGGAAGAGATTCGAAGTTTCTAGACATTCTCTAAGTGTCCTTTTACACATCTAGGCCACATTAATCTTCCCAAAACATTGTTTTCACCATGCCATTTCTTTATTTACAGGCAAGTAGTGGTTCAAGCACTTGAGTTTAGGATAGTGTTATGGACTAAACTGTGTCCACTCCAAATTCATGGTTAAGCCCTAACCGCTACTGTGACTATATTCGAAGATAGAGCCTTTAAGGAGGTAATTAAGGTTAAATAAAGCCATAAGGGTGGAGCCCTATTCCAGTGGGACTGGTTTCTTTATATACAAGAAAAAGAAGAGACGCCAGGGTTCTTTCTCTCTCCACATGCACACAAAGGAAAGGATATGTGTGAACACAGCAAGAAGGTGGCTGTCTGTAAGCCAAAAAGGGAGGCCTCACCAGAAACCAACCCAGCTGGCACCTTGATCTTGGACATCCAGCCTCCAGAACTGTGAGAAAATCAACTTCTGTTGTTTCTGCTGTTTAACACTCAGTCTAGTATTTTGTTATGGCTGACTGAGAAAACTAATACATATGTATATGGGGTCTATCATATGCTTTTAAACAATCTCTCTGGTCACATCTATCTCTTCCAATTTCTCTGTCCATGGGGCACCTATTTAATACGCTTTATGAATTCCAACACCTATATTTACATGGGTGTCCCTAATCCTTGCTAACCATTTTTCTGCTTAAGGTGTTGAATCTTCTCCATTTCTCAAGTTCCATCAGAGTTCCTGATTGATTCCTCTGTAGAGCCTTGTCTGCCACCCTAGGTGGGTACTGTGCTCCACTTTTCTCAGCTGAGATTCCTGCCTTCACTGCTAATTTTACATTTATCACATTCTATTAGTACTTCTCTCAGAGGAATATCAGCTTCCCTATCATACAACTTTTCCTTATTAAAAAAATCTGGACTTACCGTAAAAAATATAGAACACATAGGAAAACATGCAAGAAAGAAAAATAAATGTCTCCCATAATATGGCCACCTAATAAAATCATTCTAGTCTTTTTTCTATATCTGTGCATATATGTGTGCAGAACTTAACTCCACATGCTTTACATAATGCTTCTTTCACTAAGTATATCTTAAACATCTTTATTATTATTTCAAAAAGGTAGTTTTGAATTACTGTATTTCATCCTATGTGCTATATAATTCATTTAATCAACTCCCTATTGATGAGGTTTTAAATTACTCATAATCTAGCTCTGTTAGAAATAGGCTTGTAATAAATATTCTTAATAAATAGTTGTTGCCTAGGTTCATTAAAATATCCTTGGGATCAAGTTCTGCTTTGATATGTACTTTCTTATGATATGTACAGCCAAATTGTCTTCCAAAGAGTTGTACTTCCAGAGTGCCCATTTCTCTACATTCCCAAGTAAACCTTGGATATAGTTTTTTAAAACTCTGTCAATTTGACATATTAATTTAAAGAGACCACAGACTCTACTGCTACTTACGACTATTGATGTTAAGCTGTCAATTATATAGCACTATTAAGTTTACAAAAATATTTCCACAGACATAAATTAGAAAAATAATTTACAGCATCTAGAATAGGGCTCTTCATATATAAAGCTCATAAAAATTATATGATCATGGAATAAGAGTCATGAAATGCCTTTTATATGCTACACCAGAGTCACATAAATCAAAAAGTCATCCCCCAGTTAGATATAGATATAAGTATTCTTCATCAAAGTTATTGTAAGTTTTTTCTACCCTGAATCTGATAGGCTATCTTCCCCCATTGTCTCAGCTCTACCCTTTACCCATTTATTACTCATTGCATATTCTCTCAGAAATTTATCAGTTCTAGGTGCAATACTTAAGTGCATTTTAACACTTAGCATCTACAACATGAACTCTGATTTTTGAAAGAACCAGCAAGGAAAAGACATTTCAGCTTTGTTATAGTGCTTTTTCTAGGTAGCTCTCTTCTGAAAAAGCTTTCACTATCTTTTTTAAAAATCACTTTCCTTTTTTCCCTACATGTATGAAGATCCTTTACTTGTATTCCTAATTTGGGGTATACATTTTTCATATTTTAATCTCTTATTTCTGAAGTACAACAAATTGGTTGTCAACTTCTGATATGAAATTGCTGTCACCATTCTTAAGCAAACTCCCTGTCAAAGAAGAGTGGTCTCCCTTACACTTTGTAACTGGATTAATGTCCAGGGGCAGAACCATCTCAGGTGGCCCTGCTACTCTATGTGCCCTCACCAGCCTCCATGAACTTCTCCAAGCCAGTCTATTATAGTATCTTGCCTTTCCACACCCCCCACCACCAACAACATCTCTATATGACTTTCACTTGTCCCAGAAAAATTCATGAAAACATTTCACAAAATAAAAAAGACAAACTACTATTTAAGACATCATTGCAACAGATAAGACTTTTAAAAAGACTACCCAAATTCATTTATTATGTGCCTAAAGTCTTCATTTAAAGATTAAGAAAAAATGTCAGAATTTTATCCCTGAAATTACAAACCAAAAATGAACTGTTAATCCTCTTTCCTTAGTCAATACTTTAACTTTGGGAAGTGAGAATTCTGAGAGCTCTAGGACTCTGGGTAATAAGAATATGATAGGCTTTCTCTAATGAGTACCACTGTTTTTCTTAGACAGAACATATCTAGTAAATGATTCGTGGTGGGTAAAAAAAGTTACTCTTGTGAACTGGATTTAAAATGGATAAGGACACATGCCACTGCACTCCAGCCTGGGTGACAGAGTGAGACTCTGTCTCAAATAAATAAATAATGTAATAATAATAAGATAAAATGGATGAGGAAAATTATTTTAAAGTTTAGATTTTACTCTTTGGTAGGAGTGGGTTGAACTGGCACTGTTCTCTGCTGGACAAGTTGCCTATTCAGATTCACATCTATGTCAGACAGCATTGAACTTCACCTTTTCACACATATAAGTTCATTCAATCATGAGATCAATCCTATGAGGAAAGTACTGTTACTATTTTGTGGACAAGAAAATGAGGTTCATAGAAGTAATTTGCTTGACCAAACAATCTAGAAATATCAGAGCTGGGATTCAAACTCAGGCCTATGAAACACTCCTTTCACACTAGATTTACCTCTGAAATAGTTTTGCCCCAGGCATAAGTGCCATCTTCAGGTCTGCCTCCATTTAGATAAATCCACACTCGTTTTGTGTTGGGCTGCTTATACAGGTTGCTCGGCTTGACTGCTATACGTTTGGTTGCAATTGGAAAATTTATTTTGGATTCCATTTCTTGGATTTCAGAAAGGTGTGCCTGTCAAGAAAAGCCCAGAGAATGTTGTGTTTAGAGAACTGTCTGGATAGTGTTTGTGAAGAATGTGATAAAATCCAGATATATCTTGTAATTAATAAATTATATGGAAAAAATTTTAGGAAGTAACTATTAAGTACATTAGCCTCTCTTGTCACTGACTCTGGTAAATTCCCCTTGCTTCAATGAAATGCTAAAGGCAATAACAATCATTAGAATAATAATAATAATAAGGCACTCATTTTGGCAAAGCACTTAACTTTCATTTATAATGTGAAGAAATGCAGAGAGAAGTATTTTTGGACTTTTGCATGATGTTTCTCCTACTGAGAGATTTCTCTGCATCTAACAAATGAGTTTTTTATTAGAATCACATCATTTCCTCTAACCAAGAAATGCAGACAAGAGTATACATGAGTGTTGTTTCAGTCCTTACTTGCTGTCTTTTAAAATACAGCATCCACCCTTATACTTTGCCAGATCCCTGCCAGGCAGCTTTTTATTCTACTTCAAGCATGTCCTAGTTCAATGCTTTGCATTCATTCCCTGGTCAGTGATTTATCCTTCTTAGCTTGGCACGAAGTCTTATTTCTAGGGATGTCAATTCCTTTTGTTCTAGTAACCTTGACTTGGGCACGTGCCTAAGATTTAGATTGAAAACATTTCACGAATTTGAGAAATCTTATTAAATAGGAACATATCATTTTGATGAAAAACTTCACAAAGCAAAAAAGTTTTCCCTGGTCTCTCTCCCCGGTCCTCTCTCAACAGCTGACCTTTATCTTTTTGACTTTTTTATGTCTGGCAATCCTGACTGATTAACCAATTGGACTGAAACCACTTCTTTAATTCTTCACTTCTGAATGTCTCCATTGCAATTAGTATTTTACTCCTTGCTCTTTTTACATATTGAGACATGCCCTTAGGAGTAATGAGCAATGAAGCCAGAAGGCTCAACATGACTACAATTATTACAATTACCTTTGTACATATCCGCTGGGCCTTTTTCTCTTCTTTGCTAAGGTCATAATTTCCAGTCTCCATTCAAACAAAACAGACCCTCATATGAGCTGGCTGTCTTTTAGACAGCTACTCTCCAAATGCCAACTCAATGCTTGGCATATGCTTATATGGTCATAACTGATCAGATGCTGAGAATATATTAACAGTATCATTTTAAAATTCAATATTGTACTTTTAAATACTCATAAAAAGGGCAGAGTCTTTAATGTCCAGAATCCCAAAGAACATACCTCTGTATGTCTTATAAGTTCCATGAGTTTAATTTCCTGTTGAGTCTGTTCGGTCCAGCCTCCTTCAACCACCACGGGCTGCACAGGGCTCTTGGTAGGAACCATGGTGGCTGGCTGACATGCCGCTACTCGCCGCCCTGAGGAAACAAGTCTCTAGAAATTTTGTTTCTGATGATAGGCTTTCAGATTTCAAATAAACTGATTTGGCTCTCTATGTATAAATCGTTCCACACAGGAGCATAAGCTAAAATACTAAATATATCATAAAAGCAAAGATGCCTAAGGTAATAATATCTAACAATACCTCTTTCATATGGGAGCTTCAGGCTTTAAATAGCCAGGATTCATATACATACTCTACAGGTAGAAGACGAAGATAACATGCTGATTTCCACACTGGCCCCAGCCTTGCATCCATGATATGGTTCAGCAGTAATTTAGTCAAATAGAATTCATGACCATATATAGCTCCTATCATCCTTCTAGTCTTGGAACATATGTTTTGTTCTCTTTACTAATAATAAGCCTTTCCCCCACAATTAGCTTAGCAGCCTGGGGATTAAGTATTTCTAAAATAATATTAACCCAAGAGACAGGAATTTTTTTTTCTATCTAATAATACCCTGCGAGCACGATTAGTTTCTGACACCTCTGCTGTGCCCTTTATGCTGTTAGGAAGCTGTAGTAAGAGAAAATATTTATTGGAATACTGTATTCTAAAGAATCACAGGCACAATTTAATAAGTGTGGTGATTCCAATTTATGTGTTCTTACCACTAGACCACTTAAAATAGTTATAAAAGAGGTTTAAAAAGTCACACTTATGAAATTGTTTTCTTTTTCTGTGTTGAAGATATACTCAGCCCACATTTCATATTGATCTCTAAGCTTATTAAGTAAAAATAATGCTTTCTCTTGTATCTTCTTTCCAAAAACCTATATTGAGCAACAGCTATGGGTGAGGTGTTGTGTTGGATAATGCAAGCACAAACATGTTGGAGAATGAGTTCCTGCCTCAAGTTTGGTCGGGAAGGCAGACATCAAGGAAATGATTATACCAATAATGGATTGCAATTGGGCTGCACCGGGAAAGCACAAGATCTATAACAGCTCCTAACAGGAGTTGCTAACCTAGTCTGAGGCACAACAGAAGGCTTCTTAGAGAGAGTAACACTTAGGTTCATAAAACAATAGAATTACTAAAATGAAATTGAGTCTCAATTTTGTTGCCAACATAATCTTAATGTGAAGATTTTTAGACCATGACTCAAACAAAACTGAAAATAATCTGGTACTTATAGAGTATAAAGCACTTGTGCTCTTCTAGCTCAAGTTTATGGAAATAGATCCAGCAATAAAAATAAATGGCAATAATGACTTTTCAGGGAAACCAGAAATGCTTATTATGTCCCTAATAAGCATTTATATGCAATTTATGGATGTGAAGAAAACATAATTGAATCAATCAGTCAATGAGTTACAGTGACAATGCCATTAAGCAATGCACTTTGGAGAAGACCATGGTGGCACCTCACAAATACGTAACACAAATTTATACTAAATATAGTTTTTACCCAACTCTATTTATAGAGTGCAGATAACATTAATTTATGGCCCATACATTTTTATAAATAACATTTCAACAAATATTTTATTTAGAATGCATTTCGAACACTAAAATTTTGCTCAACTACAGAGAGTTCAGCAATAGTTTATCATTTATACTGCTGAGAGCTAGGGATTGAGTATAGAAAACAGGAAAAAACATTATGCATTTTTTGTCAACTTGCTTCTAACGGTCTTAAGAAAATGAATGCACTTGCGCTATAATTTTCATGAAGAGACATAATGTCATCACAAAAGATTTTAGTCTGGGGAAAGGTTTTTATGATAAACTATTATTTACATAGGTATGAATAACATAAATTGAAACCATGCAATAATGTATTGAACGAATTGTTTTTTATTTTCTTATTACATTTTCCCATATATCCTGTTTTATTTCACATGAGATCAGGGGATAGTAATTATAATAGCTAACTATTAATGAGGCATGCCTCTTCCCTAGTCCTATTGTTTCATTTTGAGGATGGAGCTCCACTGATATTGCAGATTATTTTTCTGATTGGAAATTGGGGAAAATAAGCTGGGGATTCTTGGCCCATTGTTTCTCTTAGAAACTAGAGAACACAAGTGCTTTGCTGTTTTTTCATGGGATGAGTCTTGCCCGGACAGCTCTCCCCATTCGCTGTCTTATTGGGAGGCCCACCCTTATTCAGAATCACCTGTGTCTGCAAGGGTAAGCCCACACAATCTGGGGTTTCAGTTAGCAGACTTATTTCGCTTTCACACTAAATTAAATGCTCCAACATTGCCTTTACATGTAACACTGATCATTTAGCCTGATCTGCCATTCCTGCGTTTTACTTATTTATCAGTTTTATAACCCCAAGTGGGTAAACGAGTTGCCTTTTCAGGAATCCTTACACCAATATTTATTGAGTATTTGTTATATACTAACCATGTAGTAAAGATTTGACATTTGTTACTTAATCATGAAAACCCAACAAAGTAATTACTAGTATTATGATTAATGTTAGCAATGTTCATGCTTACCAGTGAAATGTAAAGTCAGCCTAGCACAGTGGTTTGTACATAGCATATGCTCAATAAATGCTTGTTGCAATTACCAATGGCTATAATATAGAATAGCTGATTTAGCAACTATTCATACCTCCTGTTTTAGCCAACCCTGAGGAAGCTCACAATCTTATAGGCCTTGCAGTTAACTAAGACTTGTTCTTATTTATCCTCATAATCTCACCAGCTAGAAAAAGGCCTTCATGAGGGTAAATGTTTTATAAGCATGTGTTGAATTTATATTTAATAGCAGAAAACATACCACTTTGTCAATAGAGACATGATTTATGTTAGCACTCAATTCTAAGAGAAACCACATCAAAGGATCCCTCCAGAATGGACATCACTGACCAAATACAGAGTTTTAAACAGTGGTATTGTAGATGATGACAAATTAACTTAAAATTTTTAAAATACTTGGCCGGACGCAGTGGCTCATGCCTGTAATCCCAGCACTTTGGGAGGCCGAGGCAGGCAGATCACAAGGTCAGGAGATCAAGACCATCCTGGCTAACACGGTGAAACCCCCTCTCTACTAAAAGTATGAAAAAATTAGCCGGGCTTGGGTGCCTGTAGTCCCAGCTACTCAGGAGGCTGAGACAGGAGAATGGCGTGAACCCGGGAGGCGGAGCTTGCAGTGAGCTGAGATCGCACCGCTGGACTCCAGCCTGGGCGACAGAACAAGACTCCGTCTCAAAAAAAAAAAAAAAAAAAAAAATTGAATACTTAATTGTAATAAAAACTGAAGACAATATAAAATCAGAATTTAATAAAGGCAGCCATACCAGGTGCTATTTTCAGTATTTAACTTGGTACAGGAATACAGCTTAGAAAACTCCCTGGAGCGAATGGTTGCAGTTCCATTTATTCTTTAAATCAGTCATTCTACAACTATTCAGAGAACAAATGAGAAGGGTATAGAATGTATAATCTAACATAGGAAAGACTGTCACATAAATGGGTAATCATAATAATGTGATGATGACTATTGGAGGGGAAGTTCAAAGTGGGATAAACCACATTACCCTAGGCTTGGAATGCTGAGGAAGGCTTCAGGAAAGAAGTAACAAGTAACCTTAAAAACACAGAATGAGTAGGAGCGACCTAACAGGACAGGAGAGGGAAAACTTTGAGGTAGAGGGAACTAAAATGTGCCGAAAGCTCAGAGTTAAGAAAGCGCATGGTATGTCTGGGGAGCTAAAAGAAAGCTAAAATGTATGAAGTGTAGTGGGCAAGGAGAAACAGAAACTTACAGAGAACAAGATTATAAAGGGCCACGCTGAGGAGTTTCAAGGATTTGTCCTAAAGATAATAGGAAACCTTGCAAGATTTTGTGCCTAGAGTATCATAATACCTTCGCATTTTTGTATGATAACTTCAACTTCAGAATGTCACCATTATTTCTAGAATGGAAACCGCTGTCAAGATGGAAGCAGGGAGACCAGTTAGGAAACTGTTCCAATGGTCCCAAGGAATATATAGATGATGGTAGCTTGAACTTGGATAATGATATATAGCTGGAGAGAGTTAGAATCATTTGAGATCAACTTAACAGATTCAAAGTGACAAGGCTTACTGAATATTTGCTTGGGGAAGGTGAGAGAGAGGGAGATGCCAAGAATGACTTCCAGGTTTTTGAGGAGGAACACCTGGGTAGATGGTAGTAGAACCCTCTACTAGCAGAAACAAAGGAGGCATTGGTGTTGGGGTAGTATGACAGTTGTAGTTTTGGAAATGTCCATGGAACATTCAAGTGAAAATGTCTAGCAGTAGGAGTGGTAGAAGTTAGTAGTAGTCATTATTTTCACTTACACCCAATTCTTCTTTTGGTAAGAACTGGGTAATAGCCATTGCAAACCACAGTTAAGTCTAATGCAGTTAGGACTAGTTCTGCTATTTATTGAAGCAAGATTCATATGCTTTTAACACAAGACAGCATCAGGAGTTGAAATTCTGCTATGGCAATTACTGAGTTTGAAATGTGTTCCTTCCTAGACTCAAGTCCATAGTACATTGTTTCTCCCCAAAGAATCATTTGTATCTCAAGTCCTGGGAATAGTATAGGGTCAGAAACCTAAGATTCTGTGTTAAAGAGAATGGAAGAAGGAGACCAATAATTGATCACTTTGACTGTGAATAGCATGTCTTATGCTGTATAAAAAGGAGTCATTTTAAGTTACTGACACTGACTTCTGAAGATTTTAGTACTTCCTCATTCAGATTACTTAAAAAAACAAAACAAAACAAAAAAACAAAAAAAAAAACTTCTTCCCCAGCAATACCCAAGGAATGACAGCAAGGTTTGTTTAAAGATTAATTCTGAAGCCCACAAAACGTCTGTTGAGGGATTATTTCAAAAACAATGAGGTAGTTTCTCTTGCCCAGGTATCCTCCTAAGTTTTAATTTTTAAGACGTATGCATAAGTCATTTGATATTCATTTTAATATAAAATTTACAGATATAAAATCAGACCAAAAAATATATTATTAGGTTTTAGACTTTGCTCAAATGATTTCTGTAAAACAATATTTATATATTGTTTTATATAGTACTCTTTAAACACTTGGTATCTAATGGTAGAAAATAACCATTAGCAATTTGGGGCTACATTTTGAATTAAATATGGTTATGCTTGATATAGTTCATACTGACCTTTTAACTGTCTCATTTTGTGTCTCATGGTATCTAGATCAGCCAAAATTCTGTCCTTTTTTAGCCAGTTCTGTTTCTCTAATTTTTCTGCTTTCTGCAAAGCTAGAATAATAAAAATACAAGATATTTTATCAACAGTAATTTATCACGCGCACCAATAATTTATAAAGAACTTTCTGCTCAAAGAAATAGATTCAATTAGAAACAAGTAATTAAAAGGTAAGGGTCATTAAAAGAAACTTCATTTGAAAGATGACAGGGCTTAAGGCATTTCTTTATGGAGTGGAGGGGTAAAAAAAAGAAGAACGATGCTGTTTTATTATATAGATTTACCATATGCAATAGCCATATTTCATTTTCCACTTCCACAAACTATTTGGAGGTGATGAAAGCCTGGCTTGGAACCATTCATTTTTTAAACATCCACCTACTGCCTAAAGGGTGCAATTCTTAAAAATGAAAATGTGCAGACAGGTCGTCCTCAGTGTGAATTAAACTCATTTGTTATTTTCTAATGTATACCATTATTCTCAGTCTTCTCAAGGATCTCTTTATCAACTAAATTAGACATTTTTCCACACAGAATACTCAATTCCAGTAAGAAAAAAACAGGCAAATGTGCAAACATGAGAGTATAGCTATCCCTGTGCACATATTAGTTGATGAACCTTCTGTTCTTTGTATAAATGTGATGTTATTATGTTGATATTATACACATTTAATTCATTTTCTTATGATGGCATAAAATGTATTTCTCTCTCCCTTCATATACTTGCTTGAAAGAAAGCAAAAACAAAAAAGTTACCATTTGGAGGTAGAAATGGTTCACCACAAGACACCCAGATGGCAATAGGATTTCTGAGGATGAGGGTAAGCAAAGACTTGTCTATACCATCCAAACTATCGGATGTCACAGATTTTGCAAATAATCTGTTTTTCACTTTCATTCTTGGATTTTCTGGTGGAAAAAATGACACATTTATCATTGTTCAACGAATAATGAATAAATTTGTTTTCTGAATTTGTTTATTCAAAATATTTTATTATTCATTAATAACTTAATTTGATTTAAACAGGCAATGCCAAAATCAGAGACTAATGCATAATTTTGGTCAGAAACTTCATATACAACCCAAAAAATAAACTAATAAGATTGTAAATATGTTTTAATTTCTTTCTTACACATCACCTAGTTCTGAAAGAAATTTGAGGTGGCTTACCAAAATTCTTACTCTGAAATGGAAAAAATAGAGATAAAAAAATCAAGCACAGGGGAAAGGAGTATAGGAATAGACTAAATCCAGGGATAAAGTACCTTAGTGTTCTTATATTTTAAATGAATAATAATATCTCATTCTGCTGTTTCTTTTTTTAAAAGAACAAAGTAATATGCTTAGAAGAAATAGTGTTTGGTCTATTTACTCTGATGAACATCCAATAAATGTTAGATATTATTTTTATTGTTAAACAGAAATAAATACCACCTTGTTTTTACTTGCTAGAGATAAAGCAAAATTTGGGCTCTGAGCTTCCTAATGGCGAAAGCAAAGAGAAAAACACAATTTCCAGCTTCATATGGCCCACATATAGTGAGAAATTCCATAGAAAATGCACTTTTCCTGGTTCTGAGATCTGAGAAAAATTCATTTAAGGGTCCTCATAAAGAGCCTATTCGTGATATAGCTAACAGTACCCTGCAATAGAAAATTAATATATATTGAGAAGTTACTATATACTGGGTATTTTATTAAGGCCTTTACATACATCATCTCATGTGATTCTAAAAATGATACTCTGAGACTCTGAGTTAGGGCTTATTATCAGTCCTCTTTTACAGATATGATAACTGAGCTTTAGTGACATAGCTGGGTGATGGCAGAGTAAAGATTAGAATCCAGGCCATCTTCCAGTGAAGCCTGTGCTCTTAATGACTGCCTGCATAGTAAGCACTATGTTGAATTCTGACCAACAGCTGTTTCTTTAAAGTTCCTTAATGCAAACTGATGGCATAACATCAAGTCACAATTCCATAAAAGGGGGCAGCCTACTGATGGGCTTGCCTGATTTAAGGATACCCTTTAGAATATAGAGAGGAAGAGATGGAATCAAAAGAATGCCCTTTTGATAGTCCTACACTAATAATATTACTCCAACCAGGCTTTAAATAAGAATTTAAAGAAGAGTGTTTGAAATTGTAATTTTATAAAACCTGAAGTTCAGATATTCTGTATGCCAAATAAAGGCAGAAATATATGCTTCAGCAATCAGCTAGGCATTAAATGTTCACATAATTCTTTCTTAAAACTCGTTTGAATACAAAATAAGTAATATCCTATACACAAAAGTGATAAGTAATTTCACTGAATGTTTGGTAAATATCAACCAGGCATTGTTCTAAGTTATATATGTGCGTGTGTGTATATAAATACACAAATGACTATTATTCATATTTATGAGGACCAAATGAATATATTAATAATGATCAAACGAATACAGATATTGAATATATATACACATATATATGTGTTCAAGTGAAAATATAGATATATAGATATACTTGCTATGGTTTGAATGTGTGCTTTCCAAAATTCTGGTGTTAAAATTTAATGGCCAATGTAATGATATTATGAGAGATAGAGACTTTAAGAGGTGATTAGGTCATAAGGGCTTCTCTTCTTGTGAATAGAATTAAGACCCTTATAAAAGAGGCTTCACACAGTGCTGGGCTCCTTTGCCCTTTCTGTTTTCCACTGTGTGAGGACAAAACATTCTTCCCCTCTGGAGAACGTAACCCTCACCAGACAACCAGATCTACCAATGCCTTGCTGTTGGACTTCCCAGCCTCCCGAATTGTGAGAAATAAAGTTCTGTTCTTTATAAATTAACCAGCCTGTGGTATTCTGTTACAGCAACAATAATGGACTAAGACAATGTTATCTATATAATGGAGACATGTTAAATATATATACACATATATGTGTGTGTGTGTGTATATCCATATCCATGAAGTAATTGACAATTTTACAAATAGTAAAATATGTACATTTTATGTAAGAAATTTAAAATAGTAAAATTAGTTAAAAATGTATCCTAACTTTATAAATAAGAAAATTGGAATACAAGAATAGTTAAACGACTTACCCAAGGCCATTGAGCTAGCAAGTGACAAAGCTGGGATTTGAACCCTGGTATTCTGGCTCCAAAATCCAAGTTCTTAACTTCTAAATTATGCCTCTCAGTACAACCATGGAAATCTCATACTGAGAAAACTACTGAATCACTACTACCAAGACTTGCTTTTATTTAGCAGACTGTCGTTTGGGACACACACAGTCACTGCCCTCAAATTGCAAATAGTCTAATAAGACACACAGCTATAAACAGATCATTATCATGCAGTGTGTCCAAAAATGCAATAGATGGATATTGACTGGAGCTTCTGGGAGATAGTAAAAAGTGGAGAAGACAGAGACAGGGAAGGGGACTTGAATGACAGTAAAAGCATAGAGAGGACACCTTCTCTTCTAATAGTAGCAAGAGATTTCCATTGACCCAGCCCCAATTTCTTAAGTGGTCTCCAGTTGGTTTGGTTCTGAGTAAGAACAAAACCAGTCTGTTCTTACTCAGTTTGGTTCTGAGTAAGAACAAAAAATGATTATGTTCCATAAAGTAGCTGAACTGTCAAACATATTTTTATTAATTATATGCAGTTTATTTATTGTTTCAGTGCTAAAATCAAAATTTGCATTAATTTTTAACTTTTCTTATAATTCTGCAAGGTGAAAACAACATGACAATTTCATTGACACTCTTCGGGTCACAAAAGTAGCTTCCTATGATTTTGAAATTCTGAAAAAACTGACTAAATGAAATAATCATGTTTAACGTTTTCATGATCAAGCATAAGTAGAATCAGCTAAATGCTGTAGATTGTAGCCAACCTTCCATACTTTCAACAATTATCTGTTCTTTTCCAACAGGAGCTGCATCTTGCTTTTGTTTCTCAGAGTCTCTCTGGAGAAAGGATTCATCTAGAGCCCATAAAACCAAATCACGCAAGGTAAAGATTGGGGTTCCATCTTTGGTATATACTTTGGAGGCTGCTCTGGCAAGCCCAAGTTGTTCCGTGCATTCTGTAAGAAGCTAGATAACACAGGCAGTAAGGATCTGACAGGCAAAGGTGATAGCATTGGGAATGATCATTAAGAGCTTGTCATTCTAAAAATCTGAAAAAAAAAATAATTGAATTTGAGAAAATAGAAAGCTGAATTACTAATGATGCTGATCTTTGATTACAGACTATTTTGGATATTAGATTGTCCTACCTAATTTCACAACAGTAGTCCAATCCAGCTGTAAATTTCCTATCTCCACAAATTTAACATGGCAGCTGACATATATTAATATATTTTAGCATCAGAGTATCTTCTAAGAATTGTTCAACTTAAAAATCCACTTTCAAATTTGTTGCTTTATGTTATACAACTGTTGTAATACTTCATACTGATAAACCGCTTTAAAATAAGTAAGTAGTTAACCTTCAAACCAAGAACTGACAGGTATTATTACCTCCATTTTGCAGATGGAAAAACAGGATGAAAGATTAAAATTTTTGTCCAAGACCATAAAAGCCAGCTGTGGATCCCTGGGTGAATCTTGGAGTTGCTAACTTCTGTATTTTGCTTAGTTTATTGAGTAACAATACCTTAATTTAAAAAAAATATTTTCAGCCAAAGAGGTGAGGGAATAGATATGTGCGCTTGCAAGGAAGTCTGCAGGGTAACTCCATATCATATCAAATATCACTTGTAAAATACATTGCTAAAGGCATTGGCCAGAGTGAATAGTCAAGATAATCACCAAGTAGTGCAAGGACAAAGCTGGGTTTGGGCCTTCTAGCTTCTTCTCTCTTCCTATGACTGTGAGGAGCAGCCCCCAAGGCAGACCAGGTAGTTCCTCCTAACACAGCCCCTGCTTCCCCAATTTGAAAATAAAATAAAACATCCTATCAACACATAAATGCCCAGATACTCCAGATGGTGAATGAGGTGGCATCTCTTGGATGATTCAGATGACATACAACTTGAAGCTGGCATGAGAAACAAGGCAGAAAAAGGCATTCAGTCTATCACAAGAAGGAAGAAAATCCAGTAGCTTTGTTTTCCTCTTTCTTATAGATCTCTGCTCTAGAGCCAATCTAAAAACTGAATTCTGGTTTCTAGTTTTTCTAAGTCTGTATCCACTGACATACAATCAAATAAAATGTCTTTAAGTAAACAGAGATCTTCATCTCATCAGCTTTAACTGGTGAATCTGGCCAGGGACATTTATCACTCAATCCCACTGCTTTTTCTTTAAGAAGAATTGCCATTGTCATTACCTCTGAAGATGCAAGCAGCATTTAAGTGATAGCCACTTACCATGGGGAATGTTCCAGCCACAATTAACTTCCCATTACGATACCCATCCCCATTTTTGTATGCAATTATTTTCACTGCCTTCTGGTGTGTGGCTGCCATGCCACTGTGAGATGCAGCTTGCGTGCAGGTCTTCATCCGTAAAGACAATAGACGTGCTTGGTAGTAACTTAGAGTTTTTTCAGCCTTGTCACACGACAAATCAACCTAATTTTTTAAAAAATAAATTGTACATTTACTCAAACTTTCTTGTTTTAGTGTGCTACACTTTAGTCTCTTAATAAATGTGTGTATACGTGTGTGGTGTCTACATTTTGCAATGCTCTCTTCATGTTTTATAGATATTGAATACTAGAGCCGGAAGGATGTTGGATCCAAATTCTTCAGTTCCCTCCCAGGCCTGTCACTGAGTCACTAGGTGACTTTGGGCATCTGGCTTGTGTTTCTGGCATTCTCTTGTTTTTGTTTGTTTATTTGTTTTTTGCTTTCTCTCTGCCATGGCCAGAGAGAGCCTGGATTAAAGTAATAATACACTAACATTATGGATAGCCTCTGAATTTTTAACTTTAGGATGATTCCACCATATGGTGGAAGATGTTGATGAATGGGGAGGGGAATGGTTGTAGCTTTAAACACATGGTAGTAAGGGTGGTGAACACCACTCTTCTGCTTTCCCTTTTCATCCCAACCTAGGATGCTGCCCTGAGGGCAAAGTTCTGTCTGAAATTCTGTAGCACTGGGGATTCTTTCCAACCAACTCCTCACCATCTCCTTAAGATTATCCCACTATCTTCAAAGCAAACCAGATGCTTTCAGGTTTCCCAGAGGACTGACTTCCTTTCTCCTTCAGAGCTATTGCTTCTGTTGATGTTTTTTGTAACCGCAATGCATATCAGGATTAGGGAAGGGAGGAGGGTGATCTGGGGATGAGGTGAGCAAGCCCTGAAGAGCACACCAGACTGGAAGATATATTCCACCTTTTAGGAATCGCTCCTTTTTATTCAGGTGTGTAAGTTCCCATAGTTTTTACTTCTACAGTTGAAAGGGAGGGTTTTTTAAATGGTACCATTTTAAACAAAGGTTATAGGAAAGCGGTAAGAGTTTTTTTTGTTGTTGTTCCTCCGTGAACTCTAAATACTATTAGACATAGACGTGTGAATTCAGGCACCCAACCTGAACAGTCATTAACAACAACACATCCAATTCCCCCTGAAATGTTCCATGCTAGTAAAAAGAAGTTTTTTCCTGTGGATATAGGCAAAAAGCTGTTCCACGAAGTAAAGATTTGCAGTTACTTCCTCACCTAAAAGCAACACTGAGAACAGTGAAATATGTCAGTAAATGATTAAAGCTGCAGAAGTGCCCAATTAACTTCAAAGAGTCTATTGAACTATTAATAGACAATGCATTTTAAATTACAATGGGGAAAAGGAAATCAATGCAGGTAGAATGGTAAAGGTGCATCTGAGGAAGATGAATTGGATGAGTGGAGATGAACTTGAGTGCAAGGCAGATAATGAATGCATCAAAGTTTCCAAATTGTTGCCATACATGCATTAGCAGAGCTCAGATCATTACATACCTCAGCCACACTGATGACCTTGAAGGGCCCTTGTAAGAAGGGCTTCTGAGTCTTGGTGCCTGAAATACAGAGGAATGGAACCCCTGGAAGCAATTGTTTCAGTCCTTTCTCTGTTCTCATGGATTGTCCACAAGCCAAGCAGAGCATAGTTTTTCTCTTTCCATCAGGTGAGAGATAACAGTATCCCTAAAATGGGAGACAAAGATGGCTTTATATAGGAGCATCTAAATTGTTATAGCATTGCTGTAGAACATTTTACAATATAAATATAGCACTTTTAACACCCCAAAATGCTAAATTTAAATTTTATGCTAAATTTAAATTTAGCATAAATTTAGCCAAAATGCTATATTAAAAAATTTAAAGTATTTCCAAATTCTGTAACGACAATTCGACACCAATGAATATAAACTATGTGCAAAATCAGCTTCTTGGAGAAATGGCCAGCTCCAGATTTGAGGCAAGAAATATACAAGACAATCAAGGGATATCTTGTGTCCTGAATGAAAAGAAGCCATCATCATGTCCAAAAGACACAGGAGCCAACATGAAGGAGCCTCCACTGCCCCAAAATGGGACAATTAGGGAGCAACAGAAAGACTGATAACTAAAACATTTTGAAAATGTTTAAATATAAAATCCTATGAGTTTTAATGATGCTAACAATATAAATAAAAACAAATAAACCCCAAGCAAATAAAAACAAAACTGCAACTTTTCGGAGACTGTTGGAAGTAAACTGGCATCAATTTAAAACTCTACAAACTGGCCACTAGAAATTGTGGCAGATTATTTGTAAAGATGGCCACAATAAAACCATCCCACTCTTATTTGCATGCCCTTTTAAAATGTGACAGTTTTGGTCCTCCAATCGGGAAGTACGATCTTTCTCCTTTTCTTCTTTCCTTGAATCTGGGAAAGGCCATGTGACTTGCTTTGGCCAACACAGCACTAACAAATGTGATGCAAGCAGATGCATAAGAAGTGCTTGCACATCAGAGCTTATTCTCTTTTAGCTGCCATTGGAACCCCGAGACCACAATGTGAACAAACTTGAGCTAGCCTGCTCGAGAAGACATGTAGTTGAAGAACCAATGTTCCCAGCTAACAGCCTGCCAACCACCAGATGGTGAGGGACGCCATCTTTGACCATCCAGTCCCCATAAAAACACCCAACTACTAAAGAACCACCAGATGACTGTAGCCACATTAGTGACCTGGGACAAGACCAGCAGAACTGCCCAGCTGACCCCAGCTCTAATCGCCGGCTCGCCAAGCAAAAAATGGGTTTTTTATTTAAGCCACTAAATTTTCAGGGGTTTTGTTACACTGCAATAGATAAGTGACATCAATAGAAAGAATTAGGTGTTCATCCTACCTTCCCTTACAACCATATTTTTGAGTAGTCAAATATTGAATTGATGAGCTAAAGTTCTTCCTTCTATTAAAAGTTTAGTTAATCAATGTAGGAAAAAATGATAGAATTAGACAAAATTGACCCTTTTGAAACAAGAGGGCAACATTAAGTGAAATGTCTTTGGGGAATTTTTAAACATGAAATCAGGTTGTAAACACCTGAACCCACTCATAACTATCATGACTGAAAATGGAAAACCCACACATTGCCTATGTGAGTGATAAATAGGAAACATGTGGGAAAACCTATGAAGATTCTGGCCCCAAAAAATGTTAAACATAAATCTAATTACAACTATAGGACTCAATTTCATTTAGAGAAATTATGGGGGATGGGGAAATAAGTCAAAGGATGCCACAAAGAAGAAAGTAAACAAACCCCATTAAGGGGCATTCAATATGAAAATGGAGCCAGACTACGCAACTGAGTGTCACATAGAGACCTTATTTGAATCTTGACACAAACCAACAAACCATAAAAAAAAAATGTTAGGGCAACCTGGGAAATTTGATTAAGGATAGAGTATTAGATGGCCAAAGAATTATTGTTAATCTTGTTAGCTGTGAGAATGGCATGATGAGTATGTCAGAAAATGTCCAAAATTTTTGGAAGTATGTGATTCATACGGAGGTGAAGTAATATAATGTCTGGGGTTGGCAAACATGGCAAAACCTAGATAATAGTTAAATATGAATGATGGATAAATAAAGACTTATTTCCCTAGTCTCTCTACTTTAGAATATGTATGAAAATTTCAATTATAAAAATTTTAAGTACATTAGATTAATATAAACTACCTAATTCTTTTTCTCTCACAATTTTCCTTCATTCTTTCCTACCAGAATCAGAGTCTAAGTGATTTCACTCAAAAATCAGCATTCAACTTGTATGAACATAAAGTTTTCTAGGGAAAAAAATTTTCTCATTTTATTAAATTACTCTCTTTTACCCTATTTTTCTTTTATCTTTGAGAGGAAGGAACCACTTACTGGTTGATCAATGTTTTCTTCTTTAATCACAGATGATGTACAGACACCAGCATAATTTGCTGATGTAATTTCCTTATCCAAGGCAGTGCTATGAAAGGCCACAAGTGCTTTTATATTTTTCATGTAATGCCACTTTTGATTGGCAGCTCCATTGTTGTACGGCTTATATTTCTGAAAAAAGAGGCAAAATATGGAGTCAAGTGAGTTCATGTGAGGGTTATAGTGTCTTGTTTTTCATTGCATATATCCAGAAAGTGCAGATAATTACTCATAATCCCACCACACAGTGACAACTACTACTCTTGAAATTTTAGTGATTAGACATGCAATCTTTTATATGTTTATAAATACACATTATTTGATTTACAAAAATAGAATCATAAAATGCATACAATTTGGTAACTGCAATTTTTTTTCTTAACAATATTCCCTGAACCTTTTTCTAACATCTTTTAAAAATATATACCATTTCATTTTAGGGATATTTTACTAATCTCCAATAGTTAAACATGAAGGTTCTTTCTCAAAATTTCTCTAAAATAAACAAATAGTGTAAATAAATATTTGGGAAATCCATGATAATTTTTTAGGACAAATTTCTAGAAGTAGAGTTGCCAATAAAAAAATCATTTTAAAGATTATGATATATCAAAATGCCTTCTAGAGAAATTATTTTACCTTGCACTTGTGCCAATAATATACTAAATGACCCATTTTCCTTACATTCTTGCCAAAAAATGGGCAATATTTCCAAAACATGAATATAATAAATGAAAAAAAGTACCTTGTTGATATTTTAATTTATATTTCATTGATTATCAAAGAGGTTTATTTTTTAAGTACATTCAGTTAGACATGTAATAGAAACAATATATTTATTCTAATTGTGAAAGTTGGCTCAAGTACAAGTAAAGAAATAGTTTCAATTTAACAGAACTTAAACCAGTAGATTAGTTCTAACTAAATATGTCATAACACCTCAAGGAACTTTTATAATTAATAACATCTACTTTACCAAGCGAGAGCTTAATAGCAAAGAAGAAAATAAATGAGTCCCAAGAATTAATTTAATGGGTCAGACAATAAAGCCTCCCTCAGAGGTCTGAAAAACCAAAGACTATATTTTCAAGGGACAGAAAAGGGTCTAGTAGCATTAACCTGTGATGCTTCATTTTTATTATTTTACATGAACTTTAATATTTTCTCACAAACGAGTTGTTTCAATAAACGCAACACCAGCAACAAAAAATTCTTGAAAGGTAATCCAAATTACCTTGGGGTCAAATTATTTCTTATGAAATGGTAACCTTGGGAGAAACCATCCATATCTATAATTTTATGAATATGATTAAGGTACTAAAACTGTATGTGTATGAGGTTGTATCTCACTGTGGTCTGTGCTGATGAGGCACCTGACAGAGAAGAATGTAATGTTATATGTACTCTATCTCCTAGAATAATTTTTTAGTCCATATTTATCACCAGGATAGCAGACTTAATTAAGCTTTGGTATTTGTCCAGATTGCTATGTCTCAATTTTGGATTCAGGGCCTGCAAAACAAGTTGCTTCATTGCTATTAAAATCACAGAATGAAACAAATGTTATCTGGAGGCAATCTATTCTGTTCAACAAGAGGATGGAAAATACTGAGGAGGACACAGAAAGTACATGCAAAGCAGGAATGCCTCTTCACTTTCTCCCTTACTAGCAAGGAAAAACACATATTCGTTTAAGAGTGGTTTTGGTTATAAGCATGTGAGAATGACAGAAAAATGTGAAAAAAAAAAGATCTTCCCAGGTCTTTGTCCAAAACTCAAATGAAGCCAGACTTCTCTGGAGTCTCCATAAATTGTCTGGCTGCTTTAAGCATTTGCAACAGTGAATGAAAAGAGAATTTCAAATGGGTTGTTTGGTAGAATTAACATTGAGGATCTTGCATCCTTCGGGAAGACCTCCCTGACTAGGTTCTTTCTCTCCAGCTGCCAAGGCCTTTATAAACGGGAGCCTTGCATATGTTCCTGATGATCAAATTTAGGTGCATCTAATAGCCATCCACCTGCCTGCAGCCACCACTGAGACCATAAGCTTGATGAATGCTGTTGGGACAATTTCTCATGCTTGCCATTGGGTTTGATTTCAGTAACTAGCATAGTGCCTGACATGCAGCAAGCCCACAATCACCATCTGTTGGATTAAACTAAATTAAGAGGTACATGAACATGTTCAATTTAAAATCTAGGCAGACTATTGTAAATATTTTAACAACATTCAAATAGGATTCTATGACAGTTTTTTTTTTTCCTCCACTACAAGGAAGCACAAAGCTTTACTTAAATTTAATTAAAAGGCCATGACTAATCTTTAGCCATACATATCTTACCTGAACAATAACTGGATAGCCACAAACTTCATTTCTAGTCTTGGTCATAGACACTGCCAGCACAAGGTCAGGGTTACTCACAAGGTGAAAGGTCCTTGGGAAAACAGGATTAGCCACATTACAAAGTAGCATGACCAGATTAGATCTCCCTCTGTGCCACTTAGCACTGTGTTGCCTCTCAGCTCCATGCATGCTCTGTAATAATGAATGTGAATCCTTTAAGAATTTCTCCCCTACAGTAAGTGTGATGTTAAGCTTTCTCAGTAGAGAGTGCTGGAAGAAGACTGCAGGATGAAGGGGCTCTCCTGCTCTTTCTGGCTGTGGTAGGGGGTCAGCAGTTGGGAGTGAGAACACCCAATGATGCTTTGTTCCAGCGAGGTGCCCAGGAAGCAGGTCTCCTGGGACCTTCATAGCCCGGGCTTGCCTATTGCTCCTTTGCTCACTTTCTCCTGACATGGACACCACATGCTTCAGGCCTCCTAGTGTACCACCATCCCATTCCCTCTGAATGCTGCTGTGCCCAGCAACAGACTGCACCCCCCTATATGTTCCAGAATATTATGTCCTGCTCACTCAGTGTTATGGTTTGAATGCCCCTCCAAAACTCATGTTGAAACTTAATTCCCAATGTGGCAGTATTAAGAAATGGAGTCTTTAAGAGGTGATTGGATCAAGAGGGGTCTGCTTGGATTAATCCATAGATGAAAGGGTTAATGGATTAATAGGTCATAATGGGAGTGAAACTAGTGGGTTTATAAGAAAAGGAATGTGACGTGATGTTCTGTGCTGTATGATGCCCTGTGCCATATGATGACCTGTGCCATCTCAGGGCTCTAGAGAGCCCCCAGCTGCAAGAAAGCTCTCACCAGATGCACCCCTCAACATTGGACTTTCCAACCTCCAGAACTGTAAGAAATAAATTTCATTCCTTATAAATTACTCAGTTTCAGGTATTCTTTTTTTTTTTTCTTTTTTGAGATGGAGATTCACTCTGTCACCCGGGTTGGAGTGCAGTGTCATGATCTCAACTCACTGCAACCTCTACCTCTTGGGTTCAAACGATTCTTCTGCCTCAGTCTCCCGAGTAGCTGGTACTACAGGCATGTGCCACTACGCCCAGCTAATTTTTGTATTTTTAGTAGAGACGGGGTTTCACCATGTTGGCCAGGCTGGTCCAGCCAGGTGATCTCAGGTGATCCTCCCACCTCAGCCTCCCAAAGTGCTGGGATTACAGGCATGAGCCACCATGCCCGGCCCTGTTTCAGTTATTCTGTTATAAGTAACAGAAACTAGACTAAGACATTCAGCCACTACAGACAAGCTCTGGCCAGGTACACCAGCAAAACTGCTCTGCAATTCAGTGGAATGGAACCATACCTTTTTTAATGAGTCCTGAACCCTAGCCTTGGGGAGGGGACCCCATTGCAAGTTTATCCTTTCTTGGGCAATCTCCTTCAGCCATAGGGTGATATATATTATATACATATGTAATGTACATGGGTATATATACCCTAATTTACTAGCCTGGGTAAAATATGGAGGATAAAAAGACTGTGGTTAACATAAATGCAATTTTCCATTAAGTTCTACTACATAGTGTAACCCACGGTTCTCTAGGTTTCACCAGCTCATCAAAACAAATGAGTTTTAAAAGCCACCCATCCACATGAAAGAGAACAAAGCAATATGTCAAGGGAAGATGTGCAATAAACCTCAGAATTACTGTCGCTGTACAAACACACTTCTGCCATGGGACATATATTGTTCTGAATCATGCCCACACCTAATCAACAAGACTTCTGCAAAAACTCTTGGCCGGGCGCGGTGGCTCACGCTTGTAATCCCAGCACTTTGGGAGGCCGAGGAGGGCGGATCACAAGGTCAGGAGATCAGACCACGATGAAACCCTGTCTCTACTAAAAATACAAAAAATTAGCTGGGCGTGGTGGCGGGTGCCTGTAGTCCCAGCTACTCGGAGAGGCTGAGGCAGGAGAATGGCATGAACCCGGGAGGCGGAGCTTGCAGTGAGCCGAGATCATGCCACTGCACTCCAGCCTGGGCAACAGAGACTCTGTCTCAAAAAAAAAACAAACAAAAAAAACTATTTTGTTCAAGTCTGTCTGGGTGTCCCTAGAGGGGGACTTGTGCTTATCAGCAAATCTTGTCCCACTGGGCCCCCTGATGCTCCACCTCTTCTCTCTGGACTCTGACGTTTCCAATGACGGATCAACCAATATCACCATCTCCCTTCCACTAACTGCCTCTCTTTTCCGTGTCTTGACATGAGGAGCTCCCAAGATGACAAAAGTACAGAATGTTCTGCAAAGTGGGAGGAGATGGAAAGAAACTGTCCTTCTCTTCTGTGTTATACATGGTTAGATTTTCCAAGGCAGTGCTACACATGACCCAACATCTCATAGAGTTTTAGGCAGACAGACACTGAGCAAGATTCAGAACTAGTATTCTCTTCCAATGACCAAGTATTCCTGGGTCAAACTCATTATGCAATGGCTTTCTCTTGCCGTAGGGTCACATTCTCATTCCCCATGCATGTCCACCCAAATTTATCAGCCATGCTCAAATTGCAATTTAGGTTTAAGTGGGGACCTCTACTATAATACAGAAAGCCGAGGCAATAATATAAATTGCTAAATACAATGTAGAAATGAGGAAACACTAGGATGTCAGCTCCATAAGAGTAAAGATTTTTTATCTGTTTTGTTCTTTGTAAAGCAACAGCTCCTAAAACACTGCCCTCAATAACCCTTGGCAGTTGAATGAATGAATTCTGGTTCCATATGGCAAACCATTCACAGAAACAAAAGCCTGCTGTCCTACCTACACATTGCAAAGGCAGCTTAGCCCAGGTGAATGGGGCAAAGAAACACTTTCACCAGGTCTGTCTACACAATTGGTTTTCCCGTCTTTTCTAACATCAGCCCAGCGAGTTCTCCTTGCCGGAGGCTTTGCTCATCTCAGTGAGCAGAGTAAGACCAGCTCCTCTCCTGCCCAGGCAGGGCTCGCTGCTGCCGCCTGCTGAAGCTTGTGCAACCTCCCTCAAAGTACTGATTCATAAGCCTTTTCATCGCAGACCTTTTGAGAAGCCAGTGAAAATCTCAGCTCTTTCCCAGAAAAAATAAATTGCACGATGCACAAACATACACTTTGTACACTATTTCAAGAGATTAAAGAGGTCCCTGGAGGCCCACCATATCACACTAATGGTAGAATTTGAAGCAAACCAATCTAAAAAACAGGGAATTGTTTTCTTTTTTGTTCGATTAAAGAAATGTTCCATATGCACCCAAAAAAAAAAAAAAAAAAAAAGAGAGAGAGAGAGAAATGTGTAATCAACCAGCATGGACCTAACAGCCATCAACATTCTGCCATTCTCATTTCATCCATTCCCCTCAACTTTTAAAATTTTTATTTATGATAGAATGTCTTACAACAAATCTAAGATAGCTTTTAATTTTATCTGTAAATACTACAATGTTTCCAACTTATCAGGACTTTTTTTTTAACATTACCATTGAACCATTATTGGACCCAACAAAATTAATAGGACTTCCTTAATGTCATCAGATAGCCAAGCTGTTTTATATTTCTCCTGATTATCTCAAAAATAACTTTTTTACAGTACTGTAGTTGGTTCAAATTTGGATCCAGGACCAGACATTGAATTAGGTTGATATATTTGCTAAGATAGGAATTAGTTTATACTGCGTGAGTGGAAACCACAAACTGGTTATTTTATGAAGGTGGAGGAAAGAGGGAAGGTGTGTGTTGGGGGAAGGATGGGGAGTAAGTTAATGAAAAGTATCAAAAAATTTGAAAATTGGGGACGTTTTAGAATTCTTATTTGATCTATTCATTTCATAAAAATGACATTGATGCAAGTTCAGTCTTGAGCCCAATGGCCAGATAAAACTATACCCAGGAGATCAGAGGGAACATTCCTCCTCTGAATCTGATTGTGGATAAATTGTATGTAGCTTACCTAGCATTTACATTTGATTTTATTCCCTTCCTCTTCTTTGGCTAGGATAAAGAATTATCAGCTAAGTTAAATAGAAGACCCAGAATTCTCAGATATAGTTCATCTTGTTCTGTGGGGACCATGCTAGACTTATTAGGATCCTATTCACCTTTTGATATAGTAAACCCAAATATAATGGGATTACCTGCTGTCTTCCTGGTGTATCCAGCGCTGATGACTACCATCAGATTTCTTCTCCACCAAAACCACCTCCATGCCTGATCGGAGATTGGGACCTTGAACCCCCAAGACTAGCTGAGGAGCAGCATGGCTTATAATCTGCCCATCTCTGTATTCGAACTGCTGATGACAATGCTTGTGCAATTTACTATGCTTTGGTGAACAGCTGAGATAAAGAAATCTCTATTAGTGGCAGAAAAATGTCCCATGCACTTGATCATGCACTTGATGTGCTGGAGATTATAAGTTCTGTTGGTGAGAGCTCCAACGTGAAACACGTTAACTTGAAATGATAGACCATATCATTAGAATGACGGCAATGCTACCAGCACTGCACTTCTAAGCTGACATAAGAAGTAGAATTCTGAGCTTATTTTGTAACATAAATAAATGTTTACCAGGAGAATATTTGAAAAATTCGTTAGCAAAGAAAAAAGAACTTCAGTTGACAAGGTAATTTAAAGAGGAAAAAGTAAAATTTAAAATTAAGTAAGAGAATGGGGGCAGGGGCATGTAGAATAAAAACAGAGAAATAAAGGAATTCTATTCAAACTATGATTGTTTCTTTCCTCTATCTACAGTATCCCTGGAAACAGAACACCATTCTCCAAGTTTTTAACTCACCTCTAACAAGTCATAGCATATCATAAAATAATGATGCACTAATAATTTAAATGACTGTCTTAAGGACCTTACATTAAGCAGAAGTAACATATTACATATCACAACACATTGTCAATTAAATTAATCTATAAACATCTATTAAGCCCCTACTACGTGCATGGCCTAGTGCTAAATGTTGAAGTGTCAAAAATGTTTAATTCATGTGTTCCAGTGACTGCTGTAATGTCAAGTAAATGTCTAAAGATTATGAAATAATACAAAGTACTATATATTCCTGTCATTTCATTGGACATTGACAAAAAACATTAAACTAAAAAGGAAGAAACTGCATTTTCTTAATTTCTTAAAAACATTAGGGCATCTTAAATGCTTATTCAGAAGTTCACTCACACATTCATTCAACAAATATATAGGCTCTGTGCTAAGTTGTCAGGAGGCAAAGGTGGATAAGCATACTGTTTAATAGAAAAAAACACACAAATGAGTAAGATATTATACACTGAACAAAATAAACCAAAGAGTAAAGGACCTTCCCGCAAAATTTTGTAAATATTTTAATCAAAAACATAAGACAAAAATGTGCATGTTGATAGAAACAGCAGCTAACAGCAGTGAAAACTCTTGGGAATATATGTGTCCCAAGGTGAGAAAACTAACACTAGACAGAAATCTTTAAGAGGAATCCTTTGCAACTTTTTACCTGTGTTTCTTCTGTGGTTCCACATTTTCAAAGAGCCCTTTTTCCGTTTTCTTTGGAAGACTGTCATCCTCATCAAAGTCATGTGAAGTTTCCTGCCAGGCATACCTGGGAAGTGTGTGACAAGCCTTCATTCGAAGATGAGCTCTTACGTGTGAATCTCTATCAAGGTTCAGAAGCAAACATAAGTCTAAGAAATCTCATTCGTGTTCACAGAATTTTTTTCTGAGGTGTAGTCTGATCATATTCCACAGGATGTTGGTGGATCTATAAATCTTATTTCCATAAGGGTGCCTAATACTGGAAATTCACATCTCACTAATACATCATTTAGATCTTTTAATATAAGGCTACAAATAAAATTCCTCAATCACATAATAAACAGCATTCATCTTTGTCATGTTTACTCAGAAAAAAATGGGACTATGTATTGTATTTCAAAAATCATAAAGATTGACTACTCAGTAGTTTGAGAAATTCACAATGAACATGTAATGAGACTCCCTCTCTCTACCCCATAATTGGGTCATAATTCTGACTGGAACAGTACAGCCTAGATTACCCGGTTTTGTAAAGTTTACTCATTAGACAAGGTTAAGAAACCTTAACTTTTCCAAGATTTCTCCACAGAGAAATCTAGAGAAACTCAAATAGCATCTGCACATATGAGCCAGCTTTTGATAGAGAATAATATACTAAACAGAGTAAATAGTCATAGTTTGAATAATTGAGTCAGCCTTCTGGCTTCTTACTAAAATGAAGATATAAAGGGGATCAGTAGCCGCCATATAGATCTGTATATATAAAGTTCCAGGCCACTGTTGAGAGCACATTTGCCTTCAGTGGGATTGTGATATGAGGACTGCTTGACTGAGGAAGGATAAATATACAGGCAAAGCAGCAAGCCTATTTCAGCACTCTAAGTATGCGTACCTGTAAATAAAGTTCTCTGGGACAGACTGATCACCAAGGTGCTTGTCATAATTTGATGTAACTACAAGCATTATTAAATTACCAAAATCTTCAGGGACAATTCCTGTGCTAGCAGAGCTGACCGTACTCTTTTCAAATGTAATAGAAGTATTACATGTGGATATGAAACTGGTGGGTAATCACTGCCTCATTCAGAACTACAGGCAGCACAAGCGGCTTCTGAAGGCAAACCTCTCCCTTTACAGTTAAAAAAAACAACAGCGCCATCTTGTGTTAAAAATAAAACGCACAGCTTTCTCATCAATTCCATTTCTTTGGGGAAAAGGAAAAAAAAAAAAGTCATTCTTAGTTTTAACAAAGTTAGCAGGATGCAAACAAGATTCTTCACCCAAATCCAGATGTTTAACTTTCTTACTCAGAATTTCTCTATCAGCTCTTGAACTTCCTGGCAAATGAGGTATAGTCAAGTCAGTTTTAGAACAGTCATTTTTCAGTCCATCTTGCTTTATTAATTTGTTCATTCATAGAACAAACCATTCGTTAGTTATTCACTCCTTTAATCAATATTTATTGAACATCTACAAGACAGGTAAGTTATCAGTGCTCACGGAGTTTACATTCTAGTGGGAAGAGGAGAGATTAAATAGACAAGTAAATGAATAAACAAGATAAATGCCATAAGTTGAATAAAATAGGATATTGTAATGGAAATTGACTGGGATGGGGTAAGGTTTACGTTAGCAATGGAGTCAAAGAAGGTTTCTCTGAGAGGTGATGTTTGAATTGAGACAAAGACAATAGAAAGGGGCCAGCCATGTAAGGATCTAGAGGGAGAGCATTCCAAGCAGAGAAAAGAACAAATGAAAAGGCTATGAAGCAAGATTATGGTTAGCCCACTTGAAGAACAGAAAGACAGTGGTGTGACAGGTATGCAGTGAGTGAGGGGATGGTAGTTCTAGACAAGGCTGAAGAGGTGGGCAGGTACCTGTGATTCAGTGAGGAAATGAGAAAGTTTCCCCCACTCTCTGTGTTCCAAAAATCTTTTTTTCCTGCAAAGCACAGAGTAGGCAAGTGCTACTAGAATTTCTTTTCCATTTTTCTTATTGTTTGTGCCGGACACCTTTATGATAAAAAAGCAATCAAAAAGGATCCTTCTAGATTGATGTTCTAGCTGCTGGCTTTATGCATGTCCCTCCTTAAATCATCCCATTTTTCAAATATGCAAAAAACTCCAAACAAGCACATTTAAGAAAGTCTGGGAAAAATCTTACAGTGACTTCCTGATATTAGATGATTTAGGATTATTTCAGGATCATGTCATCAGAAATGGTTCAAATGACTAGTGACAGCCTGGAAAATAGATAACCCTGTATATTAAAAAATATTTCCAATAGTTTAAGGGCTGCCAAGTAGAAGAGGTATAGGGCATAGTACAGAGAAACATATGGAATAATAAGATGGAGATGGTCTAAATAATTATTTAAATGTTAGAATGGGCCTCCTTGAAAACAGTGATCTCTCTGTTATTAGGAGTATTCAAGAAGAGGCTTGAGCAAAAGAGCCTGCTTGGAATATGCAGTAGATGCCTGCATTGTACTCTGAGAGAACCCAATCACTTTTAACCTCAAGGACTCCAGGCCTTCATGAAATCTCTGATTCAGAACAATGACGATCTTTGCTCTCAAAAATGTTTCTTTTTTCTTACTTTCTGTTTATTTTTTTCCAAGTGCAGACTAAGAGGCTAGATGACACATTCTTTAGAAGGGGATGTGAAAGTTCGTGGTCAATTCCCTGACTGTTGAGAAAGATGCCATCTAGGACCAATCATTCTCTCTGAAAAATGCCTTCTGGTGCCTTTGTTAGTGTCAGTCATAGGACCAACTGAATCACCCATCCAAATGAGGAAGTTTGGTTCCTAAAATAAACGTTCATATTCTTATAATTGAGGATAGAAACAATTAATAACAATGATATATAAATTAGTTTCACAATTATTGCAGAGGTAATTGGCCAGGTATTTTTGGTTTTATAATTTGGAAACACATTCAATCTTTCATTCATTTATTCAGTAAATGATAATTAGAACCCATGTGACAGAATCTTTGCCCTCAACGTTCCCAGGCTGGTAGAGGGAGGGGTAGGCAAGGGGGAGAGGGACTGACAAGCACATTGCCACGTACAGTCATTGCTGTAATTGACTTCAATGCTAAAGTATCATTCTACAGATAAGTACGGGGCAAGTAAAGGCACTGCAGTGGAGAGAAATTCATATGTGGCTCAGAGGTCTGCAACAGAACATAAACAGAATGTGCAATATGCAGGCGACAGCTTGTCGTTGCTGAGCTGGAGGTTGGAATTCATGTGGCAGAAAGAGACAGTGGGCATGGGAATGCAAATGAGGGTCAATGACAGGCATGAACCAGGGTCAGAAGGCCTTGGGATTCCAGATGAATAGGTTTTTCTGTCTGCAATAGGTACCCTTAAAAAACTATGTGAAAAGGATTGTACATTAGAAAGTTAATTGTCTACAGTTTAACTTAGAGGGGAATTGGAAGGAAGATATTACGGCAATAGAGAGAAATCAGAAAGCTATTTCAATGATCCAGAAAGATAACTGTATATTAACATGTGTCAACTTGAACTTAGGGAAGAAGTTTAATTTATCCTGAAGTCAATGATTATGGAAACAAAATTTGATGAATTCCTCAAATAAATGCCTACTATCCTAAAATTCTAGCCTCTTAAAAATAATAACATTGTAACAATATTACTGAAAATAGATCACTGTGATGGTTGAACATCGAAGCTGTAGTTGTATCATTTTGCCGGAAAACTAATTAAATACTAGCTCTTCAGCTGCCATTAGTTTCACAAACTTGGCATGAGCTCCCTGCATGGGCTCTGTGCTGTTATCGGGCTAATGAGCTGAGTTCAAAAAGCAGCCAGGTAGCTTTTCAGGCTACACTGATTACTTACAGAATTTCACTGGAAGCATTTTCCGTTGTTAGAGGATCTTCTTGCATTTGCTTTTCTTCCGGTTCTGTAACTTGCTTCTCTTCTCCAAAAATTGCTACAGGTTTATGCACAGCAAGCTTGCTTCCAGATACAATGTCACTTTGGACTTCTAAAACAAGAGCTGAGCAGAAATTCACAAATTGCAAAGACATATTACTTACAATTGCAGAGCATCAGGAATTTAAAAACACACACTAAAATACAAATGCAAAATAATTCCATCTATTTGGTCTATTCATAGGTTACTTATTAAACTCAGTTGAATTTAATTTTAATTTTTATAGATTCTTTACTCTCAAGATATTCTTAGTCAAAAATACTAAAAATTGGTCTTTCCAAAGATCAGTTAATTATCATATATCGTAATTATTCAAATGGGCTACATTATTTAGATATATGTTTCTAGATCATTCTCTGGGATCCAAAACTCATCAGTGGAAGTCCCAGTCCCAGTCCCAGAGAAAGCCTTGAATGACACATGCAAAGTTTTACTACACGGTGTTCAATATATATAATAGGGCAATGTTTTAAATTATACTAATTTTTTTTCTTTTTCTTTTCTCTATATGGACTTTTGTCCTGGTTCCTGGAGAAAACTTAATGGAAGGAGGAAGATCATGAGGAAATTAGAACTTTTATAAAAGAAAAGCAAAAGTCCAAAGATAGTTTTTGACATTCAAACAGCATACTGCCATCGAACGTGGAAGTCAGGATGACACAGTCATGATCTATGGTTTCTCCAAAAGCCTGTAGCTCCCACTTACTGTATCAAGAGTTTAACTTCAGGATTGACCTGGAGAAAAACCATCACTCCTGGGCCAGAGGGGATCTGGGGCACAAGACAGAGAAAGCCAGAAAACTAGCACAGCATGTCTTGATTCTCTCTACAGGCTTCACTTTGGGTATCTTAGTTAAACTGGGGAAACAGTGAGGACACTGCCCATTGTCCCCTTTTGAGCTACCCTTGCTACTCCAATCTGAGGCACAGCCAGCCACGTGAACTGGGATCTGGTTTCTGGGAGGTGCAGCTAAGACCCAGGAGTTGCTGAGAATCTTTTTGGGGAGCTTTCCAAAAGTGGATGCCAAGCAGGGGTGAGGTGGCTCTGTAGCAAGGACTGCAGAGGTGATGAGATGACCACTCAGTCATAGTCAGGCTCCAGAGGGCCACAGGAAGCAGAGAGAAGGCTGAATCAGGGAGGTAGCACACCCACCCAGAGTATCGTCTGAACCAACAGAAGGAACCATAAGTCACTCCAGTCATCGACTTCAGACAGTAGAGCCCAGGAAGCAAGAAGATCTGCAACCCAAGTGCTTTTTTTCTATCTTAGAGTGGAACTTAACGTGAGATTCTGGAGATAGAGAAATCTGAAAGCTCTCCCTAAAGGGACTAATTAAATTAATGGATGGAACAAAATGTAAACATGATTAGAGAATGCATAAGGCTCACAAAGAAGGTCAGATCTGTTAATGACAAAATAAAAAGATGATGTTCTCTTTGCACATTCAAACTGTAGTGTGAACTAAAATACTCAACCCTGTCAAACACATAATTTAGTTTAAAGAGTTAAACAGCAAGATGCAGAGGTGAAATATTACTTGTTTAAACAAACTTTGACTTTTTAAAAAGCAATATCATCAAGCATTTCATTTTGGCTGAATATATTAAGGTAAATAATTCCAATGCTTACCTTCTATTTTATGTGTGCTGCAGAAGATTTGAATTTTGGCAATGTCTGATTCTAGGTTCCTCAGGAATATTTGTTTCTTTTGCTGAGCAATGGACAGGTCAGGATTGATCCAGAGTTCTCCACATGAAACATACACCTATCAAACAAAGCATCTCTTATCCTGTATATAATTGTCACAGCAGCATTATCTGTAATAATCTAAACTGGAAACAATTAAAAAAATCAAAATGTCCTATTAATATAATAGGTGAATGATTAAAGAAAACTGTGTACCACTCAGTACTTTCAAAAAAATCAAACTGCTGATAAAGGCAACAACTTTGATGAATTTCAAGAGTTTTGTATTAAGTGAAAATACTATCTTTGTATATTACCATATTATTTTTGCAACATCCTGTGAATCTATAATTATTTCAAAATTAAAGTTTAAAAAATAATTGTTTAAGAAGAAGAGGGAAGGAAGGAAGAAAAGAGGAAGGGAGTGAGGGAGGGAAGGAGGTGGGAAAGAAGGGAGCAAGGGAGGGAGGGAGGGAGAGACGGAGGAAGGTAGGAAAGAAGGAAGGAAGGAGTAAATTACAGATTGGCAAAATTAGAGATTGGCGAACTATCCCTAAAACCCAAATCTGGTCCCCTGCCTGTTTTTGTGAGTAGAGTTTTATTAGAACACAGCTATTCCCATTCATTTACACGTTGTCTATGGCTGCTTTCATGCATCAGGAGCAGAGCTGATGCACAGCAGGCACCATATGGCCCACAAAACCTACAATATCTACTATCTCATTCTTTACAGAAAACATTTAATGACCCCTGGTATAAATGAATTTGTAGTACAAACACCAAAATGTCAATGTGGCTATTGCCAGGTGACAAGATTATGGATAATACTTTTCCTCTTCTCCTTTTTTTTTTTTTTTTGCTTATATGTATTTCTTAAATGTCCTTAAATGGATAAATATTTCTTTAAAGATGAGAAAAGAAAGTGATATATTGAGAAAGGCTCAGTAAGAAGAAAGAGAACCTCAGTGCTGCCTTTTCTGATCATTGCAAAGTCATTATTACAAACATTCGACATTTTGTGTATGAAGACCCAGGGGAAACTTTAAATAATAATAATAATAATTATTATTATTATTTGAGATGGAGTCTCACTCTGTAGCCCAAGCTGGAGTGCAGTGGCATGCTTTCGGCTCACTGCAACCTCTGCCTCCAGGGCTCGTGATTCTCGTGCCTCAGCCTCCTGAGTAGCTGGGATTACAGGCACCTGCCACCATGCCCAGCTAATTTTTTGTATTCTAGTAGAGGCAGGGTTTCGCCACGTTGCTCAGGGTAGTCTTGAACTCTTAAGCTCAGGTGATCCACCCACCTCGGCCTCCCAAAGTGCTGGGATTACAGGTATGAGCCACTGCACCCAGGCAAAAATTTCTTATTTTGAACAACGGATTTCTTTTTCTCTTTTGGACATATTTAATCATGTAACTAACTGTTTATGTTTCCATCTTCATGTTACTCTTCAGAGCAGTGACAGATTAGTTTCTAGCAAATATACAATCACTCCTGGCTCCATCTTATCCTCCTTCCACTCATACCTGCTTTGCCATGGTGGCCTCATCTATACTTACCATTAAATTAACTTTTTGTATTGTATGATTTAATGTAATCTACCTTAAATTCATTCTCTAAAAAACCCACAGTGAATAGCACAGCAGACCAAACAAAAACACTAAAAGCAAACAAACAAAACACTTGGAGAGATGGCATTAGGATTCAAAATGAGATCTAGCAGTCTCTGAGAACAACAGACTCTCCACCCTGCGATTCTGCCTCTGATGTTGGCCATTGATACTTCTGTTTAAGACTCTCTCCAGTATTTAGGTTCAGGGCCTCAGTTGAGTTCTGACGAAATGGTAGAAGCTTTGTTCTCTGTTCAAAGAATTGTAGGCATCAATCAAGGAAGGTATCTTTTTTTTTAATTTTTCAAACCAATGCCTCAAATTCTATAAATGAGGGGGAAGGCTGGGCTGCTAAAGTCCTTCCACTTTTCAGCCTTCTCCAGTCACCAAATAGAGTGTATGAAAAAAGTAGACATAATTTTGTCCTGAAAAAGTGAAATTACCATTTAGTAAAAAACCATTAAACAACTACATTTTGAAGGTCTCAAAAAGAGTAGAGAATTTACCTCCTTCAGAGCAGGAGATAGAAATTACAAAGGATTAACAATTTGGCCTTCTCCAGTTTCTTCCTTAATTTCTAGAGTCTAGGATCATGATGAACATTAAGTAGATTAATTCGGCCGGGCGCGGTGGCCCACACCTGTAATCCCACCACTTTGGGAGGCTGAGGCAGGTGGATCACCTGAGCTCAGGAGTGTGAGACCAGCCTGAGCAACATGTTGAAATCCATCTCTACCGAAAATACAAAAAATCAGCTAGGCATAGTGGCACATGCCTATAATCCCAGCTACTCTGGAGGCTGAGGTGGAAGAATTGCTTGAGCATGGGAGGCAGAGGTTGCAGTGAGCCAAGACTGCGCCACTGCACTCCAGCCTGGGTATCAGAGTGAAACTCCATCTCAAAAAAAAAAAAAAAGTTTAATTTATATACCACTCTGAAAACCATGCCAGACATATAGGAAGCTCTGAATAATGTTAGCTGTTAGTATTACTTTCTGATGTTTGCTCAGTTAGGATAATTCTGAGAGAAAATAAGAATTAAAATGGTAAGCATTTGAAGACTTATATTTAAGGGGATTCTTTCTTGGATGGGGTATTAATAAATTAATATTGCCAGTTTCAAATCCATGTCTTTACCAGTTCATCTCTTTGCAGGTCTTTTAAGGCAAATATTTCCTTCCCCTTTTCATTGTACAATCTCCGAGCTGCAGAAGGTAAATTTAAAATCTCAGTGCACCTGTAATAAAAGACACAAAAATTGACCTTGCATACAGAAAGCTTCCAGCAGCAAAGAGAGAAAATAAAAGAAATCTGGGGCCTGAATCCATAATGACAACTCTCTCTGCAGGACTGTTAGTCATGAGCTGGACTCTGGGGCCCATCAGACCCATTTGAGTCTCATTTTCCTCTCCAAATTGTGGCACTTGGGCAAATTATTTAACCTGTCTAAGGCTAGATTTCTTACCTTCCAGGGTTTCTGTGAAGATTAAAGGTTGATTTTGAAAAGAGCTCTTAGCACAGTCCCAGACATGACCAATAAATAGCTAGACACACTGCTATTGACTTTTAGTTCCTTGGTATGCCCCACACTTTTCTATTTCTGTGCCTGCGTTCTTTCTCCTACCTAAAAAAATTTTTCCTTGGCTTTTTCTGATGTAGTCTTGTTCTTTCTCCAAGGTTGTCAAAGTCTAATTTGTCACCAAGTTCCTCAGCTCCCTCCACCAGAGGGTAGTCTGTTTCAACTACCTTTGAAACAGACGTTTTTAGCCTGGTTAAACACTGAACACTGATTTCCCACTCCCACAACCCCCTGCCTTCCCAAACAAGCACCGGACAAGCCCTGTGGATATTGAGATGATGACAGTTTTGTAGTTCCCTGAGGAGCTCCGAGTCTGGTCAGGGTAGAGAAAGGTGAGCAATTGAAGTGTAATATGAAGTCGTAGGTGCTGCCATAGGCACCTGCCCAGCGTGCTGTGAGAACAGAGGGGAAAACAATTTTTCCAGAGAAGCCTTATCTAAGGGAGTGGCATTTGGGTTGGGTTTTAAAGGATAAACAGGATTTCATCAAAAAGCGCTAGACTGGAGCTGAGTGTATGGACATGAGGAGGGTATGGACCAGATGAAACTGAAAAAGAAAACAGAAACCAACTGAAAGTACTTAGGATTCTAGACTGAGGAACCTGCCTTCTAGCCCATAAGCAGCAGAAAGCCATTGAAGGCATTAGAGCAGATATGTGGTGTTATCAGGTCTGCTTTTCCGAAAGTTAACTGTCAGAAAGGTGGAAAATGGGCTGGAGGTGGGAGAGGCTGGAGCCTAGACAGCAAGCTTTAGGACAGATGTAAATAGATGGAATTGTGAGGAAAAAGTAGAGCTACAGGAGACTGATGGAGCATTTTCTAAACAATACTGTGAGGATATCCCGCCTATGGAAGAAGTAGAAGATTCTTGCTAAATATATTTTGTGTTAGAATATAATCTTTACATTCTAATACAAAATTACATAAAGTTGACTTTATGCTCATCATCAAGACATAGCTTTATAAAGAATGTTTCTAAATTTTATATCCTCAATGGGATAAAGCAATTAAACAGATAATCAGGCCCTCCATTTCTCTAAGGTTAGCTTAGAAGTAAATAAAACAGGCTGGGTATGGTGGTCCATGCCAGTAATCCCAGCACTTGGGGAGGTCAAGATAGGAGGACCACTTGAGGCCAGGAGTTCAAGATCAGCCTGGGCAACATAGCAAGATCCCTATTTTTAAAGAAAGGAGCTATGCCTCCCAGATCCACAGTCAGCTACAGCTCCACAGCAGTGGAGCTCTTAAGCTAATCACTTGCCAGGACACCCCACCCCAGGAGCTGTTCTACACTCTTTCAGTTCTTTCCAAACCGTAACAAAACCTTTGAGAAGCTATGGTCATGTGCTTTCTCCTTTTCTTTATCTTCTTGCTTTGGATTTTTGTCTCATTTTCTTTCTTCTCCCTGTGGCCTTCTCCGACAGCTGCCCCTTACAATGTTCTCTCTCTTTCCTGGTTATATATAAACCAGGAAATATATCATCATGTAATGATCCCTTGATTATTTTCAATTCTGTATGGTTAAATACTGCTGCATGTGGCTTTCTGATTGTTTCACTAAGCAAATTTTCTTCCCCAAAAGTTAGTTGGGAGTTCCTTGAGAGCAAGCAATGCCTTGTTCTAAAAAAAAGAAAAAAAGAAAGAAAGAAAAGAAAAAAGAAAAGAAGAAGAAAGAAAAACACCAAAAACCTCCAGCAGAACATCCTACACCGGTTGATGTTACATAATATAAATACAACAGATGACTGTTAACAGTTGAGGAAAACAAGCCTTGGAGAAGGACAGGGCTTTGCTGAAGACTTCCAGCTAGTTAGTGGCAATGCTGGGGTTAAAATCAATTCCTTTGCCTCCTAATCCAGTGGTCTTTCCAATATTCTATGTTGCCAGCAACTTTACAGAAAGTAGAAGGTACCAACAACAACAAAAGTTCTGTATCTATTATTCTAAAATGGAACTTATTATACTATTAGATCATACCTCAGTTTTGTACATGGAAAAATCAACAACAACAAAGAGAACCTCAAAATTGTCTAGAGTGAATTATTAAATAACCAAAGATAGCATAATTTTCCTTAAACTCAATAAAACTATTCCCTCATATTTGACAAGGCATACTTTGCAAAAAAGTTCATACCAAGTGCTCCAACCTTTCAGCAGTGATCTAATTCTTGATTTGGTAAAAAAATACTGATTAAAAAAAATTACAACATATTTCATAAACATAATATACGTTAGTGGTATGGTTTAGATGTTTGTCCTCTGCAAACCTCATATTGAAATTTGATCTCCAATGATGGAGATGAGGCCTAATGAGAGGTGTTTGAGTCATGATAGAAGATCCCTCATAAATAGATTAATGCCCCCCCTTGGAAATGAGTGAATTCTCATTCTATTAGTTATTTCAGAGCTGATTGTTAAAAAGATGCTGGCACCTTCCCCCTCTCTCTTACTTCTTCTCCTCTATGTAGTCTCTGCATTTGCCGGCTCCTCTTCACCTTCTGCCATGAGTGGAAGCTGCCTGAAGCCCTCACCAGATGCAGATGCCCAATCTTGAACTTTCCAGCCATCAGAATCATGAACCACATAAACTTTTTTACTTTCTAAATTAACCAGCCTCAGGTATTTCTTTATAGTAACACAAAACAGACTAAGACATTCATGTTTTAAAAACTGGTTTATAATAGGTAAAATATAAAAATTTAACTACGCCACTCTTAATTCAAGCAAATATAAACCAAAGAAAGTTGCTATAAATTGTGAAATATGTTTTTTAAATGAGATTAATTTATATTTACAGAGTTGGCCATTCAGAAAGCTAGGGGAATTTGATAGACCTTGACATTTCGGGGAAAAACATTGTATTAAATAAGGTCTTAATTTATCATGATTTGCCCTAAAGTAATCTCTTTCTTTAAAATATACAGTTTCAAAAACTATCACAATGAAATATTTAACTTCATTTTAAATATTACATAACATGACATGTTATTACATAAATATTTATACTATGAGTAATTTTGTAAAACAATATATTTTCACTATTTTATTTCTCTTCTAATAATGCTGAACACTATGAAATATAAATTTTTCAACTTTGAAGAAAATTCAGAGATTGCATTCATTTTACCTGTAATTTTTTATTCATATATTGTCTTATTATTAACCCCAAATTTAAAATTTTTAGACTGAAAAATAAATAATGATGATCATAGAAAAAGATGCTTAATTTGAATATACATCTGCTCAAAGTTTTAAGTTAGGAAACTATTTTGTGCATTTTTTAGAATCTATATTTTATTAAATGAAATAGTTATCAAATACTTTATAATTAATTGTTCTTTCATTACAAATGGTGATCAAATATAACTAACCATTCATTCGTTCAGTAGTCACTAATTTAAGGCCTATGTAGGCCCTTAATCATGTGGCTAACAAAGTGACTCCCTAGTACCTTAATACTTGATTCATCAGAACACAATGATCTATGATCATAACATAGCAGATTGTACATCTGCTATGAATGAAGCATCCCTGTTCTCTATCTCATGGATGGAACATAAGCAGATAATCATGAAACTGAATGATAGGTGCTGTACTGGTGGAAGGCCCAGGGCTGGAGTAGTGGAATACACAGTAGACACAACTAACTCGAGAGGAGAGAGTGTCTCATTCAGGGTCAACATCTAGAAAGGAAATCTAAACTCATTCTCAAAAGACTTTTATTATTTAAGCACATAGGAAGTGTTGGAAAGTGGTGGTGGGTGGTTTGAGAGTGGGAATTGGGGGAGTGTTGATAGGAAATAGAGCTAGAGAAATATGCAGGGATAGGTCATAAAAGGACTTACAAGCTCTACTAAGGAGCTCAAGTGAGTTCAGAGATCATAACTTACTAATAAGTAATATATATATTGAAATCATCTAAAATATAAAATTTACTTCAAAGCCTCATCTGGGGCCTTTCCTCTTAAAATTCCTTAAATGTAACTTATAAAATTTTTCTTGTTTAACTTACATTTCTGAGAGACAAAATTTGCCTGTGACACAAGAAAAATTATGAAGGTCTTAATTTATATAAACTCGACAGTCACTATTAAGACTAATTGACAAGATCTTGTCACTCACTAGAGTAATAACCGACTAAGTAATGAACAAATACTATTTGATTTTCCTTAGGCTTTGTAGATGAAAGAACCAATAACAACAACAAAAACTCCTCAAAACTACCTCCAGTAAATTATTAAATAGCTAAAGGACAGCATGTTACTAGGGCAAGATTTGGTTAAAGTATATCTATATTTCATACTTCCAGCATGATTTTGCTTGTAGAGACACTAAACAGCCCAACACTCCTTCTTATAAATAAATTTCAGGTTAATGCAAGTAATATATGTCACTAGAAGTTATTTCTTCTGGAAGATGTGTAACTTGTATTTATTAAATACACCAAGGCACAGCAGGGCTTCTGCCTGGCACAACTCTAGGATGCCATTCATACAGATAACCATGTGAATGGAGCTCTCTGAAGCTGGACAACCAGCCACCCTGCAATGTAACCCAAGACCTTCCATTTAAACCTTCTGTGAACCAGTACTTACATCCAGCTCTAGGGGTGGGTGAATTCTATTGATGATATTATAGAACACTTTCTGAATCAGCAGAGAAATTAAACTATATGTAGTAGAGTTTTAGTGTTAAGTGTATGCCAGTGTATTTTAATTATTTGGGAGTAATTAATTCATATGGTGAACAAGTAACTCTAATACCTGAATACGTGATGAACTGGGACATACTGTTCCATGAACATAGCATATGGGCAGCACAGCATTTCACATATTCTCTGCTAGAACAGTTGTCCAAATTTACCATTTCAATCTCTTAAAATTTGTTCGGATTACCTGACTGAACCATGCATTTTAAAACATTGATGTGATAATATCTGTATGTAACTTTGAGCCACAATTAAAGATAGAAAACAAGAAAAATAATGAATGTAGGAAGAAACAGAAATTTTGTGTTAACTTTGGGTGTTACTTTTGAAGAGTCATACACTACTTTAAGGACATTACCCTCACATTTTACATCTAGCAGAATGAGCTAATTATGAAATGTATGCGTCAAAGAATTCAATTTCAGGCTTGACTTTACTTTGAAGTTTAATTTTTTACTTTATCATCTTTACAGGCAGTTCAGTGGTCATCCAATCTGAATGTTACTCATTGTTCAGCGATGTATGAAGTATATTTAATCAATGTGAAAAAAGTAGTATTAAACTATTATAGCAGCCTCAAATATTCTAAACATCTCAAAAGAAAGGTCAAGAGGTAATATGGCTGCTAATAATATGAGAAACAATGTGTTTAACTCATTCTTTACATCAGAGCTCTTCAATGATCTATGATGCCTTTTGTCATAAAATGAAATGAAAAGACAGCAGGTGATTTTTCTCCAATGTTGGAGAAAATATTGGCTATTGGGAAAATTTTATCCCAATAATAAGGTAAGCTAAAGTGTCAATAAATGTTTTTCTAGGGTGATAAACTTTTAAAATGTTATTCCAAGGAAGACTATAAATTATATAAAGTTATACTTTTGAGAACTGTATTTGTTCATTAAATATTCTAAAGATTTAAACATAATTGTGTATAATTTAACTTATATAAGGAGTTACAAAATTATATTTAAGGATGTTGAGTTCAATTATTTCAAGACACATTTATAAAACTCAAACAAAAATGCTAATCCAAATATACACTGATCACAGAATTTTTAAAAATAGAACTTTTAAAAAATCAGAGCTACTCATTTCTAAACCATTATCTTCTAAATTAGCAGAGTTCAAATCAAATTCCTGATGAAGAAACTAAATGAGTCCTAGTCTCTATTTTCATCTTCAAATATGAATATGGGAGCCCTTTTGCTAAATAAATACAGAATTCCCACAGAAAAACATCCATAATTAAGAACACAAAATCTGTACAAACTAGAAAGTGTATTTAATAAGTATGAACAAGTTGTTCTTACTGCGTTTTCCGTCCAGGTGAGATATCTGGACCAAGGATAGTAACGGATCTGTTTTTATTCTTCTCTCCATTCTGCAAAACTCTGAGTCGCACAGGGGCATATGGCTCTGTTGTCTTACAGATGGGTTTCTTCATGGGAGGACTGCTCGGAACAAGCAGTCCTTGTATTGGCCAATCAAACTCCTTCAGAAAGAAATGACAAAAACATAATAATAAATACAGAAGAAGGGTCATGTCTAGATTTTTAAAAATATTAAACACAGTTTATACCTTTAATCTCTCATTCATTCAACAAAAATGTATTGGGGTACCTAAGATGCTCCAGACAATTCTAATTAATGTTTTATTTGAAGAGGAAAGATAATTATTTTTAAAATTTCTGTAACAACCTGTGTTATGTTGCAAGATGAATGATTTATTCCCTCTCAGAGAAACATCATTCTCGAAAAAATAGAACCGAATGAACTTGGAATACTTTTGCTTACATGTTAAATATCTTTAATCAGTGTGAAGAAGGAATGTGACAAAAGTGGTTTTAAAATAGCCTGAAATAATACCACCTTAAACTAGATCTAATTGGCAAAAAAGGAATATATTTGGAGAATATTGCAAAAATAAAATAAAATAATGAACATAAACACATTTCACGTTTCAGTTGTAGAATTCAGTTACTTTTTAATTCAGTTTGTATCAATTTATCCATAAAATCATTTATTGATTAATTCATGTATTCTTCAAATATTTTTGAATGTTTACCATATATTCTAGGCATGATATTATGCACCAAAAATAAAACTATGAACCACACAAGATACTCTTCCTCGAATAATTTATAGCAGGTCTTCAGAAACTTACCTAAATATAGACTGGCAATTACAATAGTGTAAGTATGACGACAGGTTACAGGTGTGATGGGACCACATAGGGAGGAGAACCTAACTCAGAAATGTCATAGAACTGAGTCCTGAAGCCTTCGTAGGAGTTAATGCAGTAAAGGATGGGTAAAAAGAGGGATAGAGTAGGTTTATCAGACTTGAGGATTAATAGAATATGATGCTGGGGCAATAAAAGGAGGCAAGGGGGTTTCCAAGTTCACAGTTTGGGTAACTGGGTGGATGGTATTGCTGTTCACAGAGATAGACACTTGTGTGTGAAAGAAGAGTAAATGCAGGAAGGGATGATCAGTGATGATGCTGGGCAAGGTCCAAGTTTATTCTTTCTCTTTTTTTTTTTTCCTACTTTCATAAACCATTGCTCTGGCAGCATCTCCTGTTAATCTGCAATGACCATCCTGTAAAATATCACTACTGCATGTAAGTGTAGATCTGCTTTTGTTTCTCTTCAGTTTGTCAGTTTGTCTTTCCCTTCATAGTAATGTACTGCTTTGATTATAATATATTTTTATGTGGTAAGTCTTGATAACTGGTAGGGCAAATATGCTCACCTTTTTTTTCTTTTTTTGGGAATTGGCTCTTGTTGGCCCTTTGTTAATTCATATACATTTAAGAATAAGTTTGGTTAGTTTTTTTAAAAGTCTATTTGGGATATAAGTGCTCTATATTAGGTTAAGAAATTTATATTTTGTTAATATTTTTTCTTGAATTTGTGTTAAATCATATAAAGCTCTTTTTCCTTCATTTACTGAGATTTGCCTATATGACTAAACTCTCATCACTTATGTGTTAATTACATTAATTTTTAAAAATTTAAACTAATATTGCCTTCCTGGATAAATCAAAATTGCTCATGATGTATGACACTTGTTATAAATTGTTGAATTAAATGTGCTAATATTTTCTTTAAGATTTTTGCATGTACATTCATAAATGAAATTAACATGTAATTTTCAGTTGTTACCTTCCTCAAGGTTTGGTATGAACCTTCTGCTAGCCTCATGAAATGAATTGGAAAGTATTGCTTCTTGTGAGAAACACACTCACGCATCCAAACCCAAAGAATGGACGTAGAGGCACAACATCCCACTGCTGTTAAGACTCCTGCCACAATTATAAGAGATTTAAGGATTGAAGCTACCATGCCTTTCCATTTTCCAAACCAACCTTCTACCCAACATGTAAATGGGTCATCAATTCCAGCATTCTCTGCCAGTTCACTGGCTAGAGTTGTCAGCCCTTATAAAGTTTTTGTGATGGTGCCATCTGGGGCAGTATTGTTAGGAATGAAAGTACAACATTTTCCACCCAGCATAACACATACGTCTCCTTTTTCTGCTAGTATCATGTCTTAACGCAAGCCTGTTTCCCAGGCCACTCAGCTGGTGGCATCAAACTGGCTTACCATCCCTTTGAGTGCATTCCAAGTATAACTGATGAATCTTTGTTGATTACAATAGATGTAGTTAATCCAATTCACAATCTTAATAGTTGACCACCAGAAGAGTGCTGACTCAAACCCAGTAGGTATTTGGTTTCGGGCCTTAAATTTATTAGGCGACCCCCTAGGGACTCCTATCAAGTCAACATATGTATTGGGATCAAAAGAATTTGTCAAATCTCTCTGGTTTTGGTGGCCATGTGTATTTTCAGGTATCTTGTGGAATGCCAGGGTGAATGGAATGGCCAATTAGACTAAAGCACAAGTTCCGGTCCAATTGGATGGTAACAGGTTATAGAAGTTCCTTTTCCCACAATATCACCAGCTTGGGGTATATGGAGAGCTGAATAATTGCCATTGCTTGACTAACCAGTGACGTTTAGGATATAGGTACAAGTTGGGAGTTCTCCCACAGGCTTACTGAATACTGCCCCCTGCCTAGAGAGGCAAGAGGAGTGGTTCATATTCCCTACAGAGAATGAAGGGATTGCTCTGGGATCCGACCTCTGCAACGTGGGAAAGAGCAATCACAGAGTCTTATAGGTCTCATTTCCCCAAGCATCCTTATCCTGGCATAGAGCCAACATGCAATGCATTCCTTTAGGATCAATATTCCATCCTAAGGGAAACGGAACCACCTGTGCCTGGGGTCGTCCTGCAGCAACACATGTAACAGTTACTCTTGTTGAGGGCTTGTAGCAAAAAGTTGACCCATTTGATCCAGGCATTCACATCCCTGTACCCTGTCTCAATTTCTAAGGTTTGCCTTAAATCCTTTACCTCAATTGTTTTTACCCTTTTAGGGTCATTGTTTGGTAAAGTGTTTATTAGGGTCTGGGTTTGGAGTAGTCCCAGACAAATGGGAGGTTGAGTTCTTGATTAGTTTGGGAACAAATCACCCTAGGGGGTAAACTTTCCCTGTGTTGACAGCCCCTAACCCATATACCTGAGATGCTACTTTTGGTTTTTGGTTTAGAACAGCTGGATTGTCAATGGTGATAAGTATAGGATTGCATTCTAAATTCTGGCAGTTATTTGGCAGGGAGACCTTGGCCCCTTGGACACATGTAGTTTATTCTTCAAGGGTCTCCAATTCAGAGTTACTTACCCTATGTTACTGTCCAACCCTGAAATTGGGTAGTCCATCATACGTCATCCCAGCTGGGGCAGGGTAACACCCTACTGTACCTTGTATCTGGTTCAGGGCAAAGATATTTATCTGCCTGTGAGAGCCATCTCTGATTTTCTAAATTCCCACAAGGTAAAACCTGGCAGGCATCAAATCTTATAGTCTGGGATGCTACCGTCTTCGTTACATTAATTACTAACCTGATTGGGTAGGGAGTAGGCCCCTGCCAGTTTCCATTTTGGCCTTCTCTTCTTTGTATAGCAGCCCATCCCAGCCATATTAACTTCCAGAAATGGAACTAGCCCATGTTTTCTGTTTGTTTGTTTGTTTGGGTTTTTTTGAGACAGAGTCCCACCCTGTCACCAGGCTGGAGTACAATGGTGCAATCTCAGCTCACTGCAACCTTTGCCTCCCAGGTTCAAGCGATTCTCCTGCCTCAGCCTCCTGAGTAGCTGGGATTACAGGTGAGTGCTACCACGCCCAGCTATGTTTTGTATTTTTAGTAGAGATGGGGTTTCACCATGTTGGTCAGGCTGGTCTCGAACTCCTGACCTCGTGATCCGCCCGCCTCGGCCTCCCAAAGTGCTGGGATTACAGGCATAAGCCACTGTGCCTGGCCTCATGTTTTCTTTTTACATTTTTCTCAGAGTTAACTTTAAGGGTTCCTCAGGTGACCCATGCACTGGTCTTTTTCCCTCCCTTCTGGGGTCTCTTTTACCAGTCCCTTGACTGGAGTATAGTGAGTCCACCACATTCAGCTGTTTGCACAGCGGTCTCAGTGGTTAGGAACACTTAATAGGGACCTTCCCAGTTTAGGTGGAGCTTGTCTTCTTTCCAAGTCTTAATCAGCACCAAGTCACCAGGCTGGAAGTGGTGAACCATGAATTTAAGAGGCAGAGTTTGAGTCAGAAGTCCTTTTAACCTGAGGGATGACAGGGTGGAGGATATGGCCAGTATATAATTTCTTAAAAATTGGTCCTTGGTTTCCATAGTAGGAAGATCTGTAGCCCTGTCCAAATATGCGAGTCCATATAATAACTCATAGAGGGACAATCCCAAGTCTTTTCTTGGGGCTGTCCTAATCCTAATGAGTGCTAATGGGAGACATTTGGTTCAAAGCATTTTAGTTTCTATGATTAGTTTGGTGATATGCTTTTTGAGAGTTTGATTTATTCTTTCTACCTTTCCAGAGGAAGGGGGATGCCAAGGGGTGTGATAATCCCTTCTAATTTGTAAACCTTCCATAATTTCCCTTAACACCCTTGAGGTACCTTCCTTCCTAAGCTCATGCAGTTCAAAGAAATCACTCTCTTCTAACAAAGGGCAGCCTGAAAGTTGAGGTTGTAAATGACAGATAAACAGCTTAAGCACAGAAAGGGAGTGGGGAAGACTCCTGGGTTATCACCAAACTTCACATTCATACAGTGGGCTCCAGTAGAAACACTGGGCCTTAATAAGCACATTCCTTTCCCTTTAGGCACACTAAGGGAAGCTAAAAGCAGACTGGGGGAAGATGCCTGCAGCTGGAAGATGTCTGGGAACAGACACAGAAACTCTCCCTCCCAGATAAGCGACACAAAGGAATATTTTATGGTGATACGTAGGTTCTAATAGTCAATTTTTAATTAATCCCTCCATTACTGGTTGGAAGTCTTTTCTCCCTTAAATAGCAATGGGATATTGCTCCTGCAAACTACTTCTCATGGTTGTTTTAGTTCAATCTGTAAGGGTGTGATTTTTAACCCTCCCCTGTTGCCTTCCCCAACCCACACAAGGGGATTAATTTTTCTTTCCTTCTCCTCTATTAGGAGGCTCATCATTACCTTTATTTGTCCTTCCTCTATTCTTAATCCTAAACCCAACCTCACAACTACGTTTTTACCCAGGAGGTTAGTTCTTGCTTCAGAAACATGTAAGAGTGACCCCTCAATTTGTTGTGGTTCCATTTAACATTTTCTTGAATATCAGAACCTCAAATCCCTCCCCTCTTACCCCTGATACTGCTAATTTTCCCTTAGAGAGTTCTGTATCCCTTGGTTGGTGAATTAGGGAGGAGCGAGCCACCCCAGTATTAACCCAAAATGTCACTTTTTCTCCCTCAGGTCCCACCTTCAAATTTATCAAGGGTTCCTGGTGGGACCTACTCAAAAGGAACCCCTGACTCCCCCAGTCCTCATCAATGGTCATGAGGGGGATCACCTTTTCTTCCATCCAGGACATTCTCTCTAAAAATGCCCAGGCTTTCCACACTTGTAACATCCACTCATAGTCTTAGGAGCTTTTCACTGCCTTTCCCTTCCTTCCCTGTGTCGAAATCTATCATTCCCTCATCTCCTTCGAGGGAGATCTTGATCTAACCTTTTTCTGACTACCTATTCCACAGTGGAAACCATGATTTTCACTTTTTGTTTCTGCTTATCTTCCTCTCTCCTTACAAAGACCTTCTGAGCTTCCCTCAGTAATTCCTCAATCGGTTTTTCATTCCATCCATCAATCTTCCACAGTTTCTATTTTATCTTCCTTATGTAGCTCCCCAACCCTTCTACAGCCTTACTGACAGCTGCCCCCAGTGGACTTACAGCCTCTCAGGAAAACAACAACAAAACCTTTAATGGTTATCTCATCCATTTACCCTTCCATAACCTGAATCCTTTCTACCGCCTGCTGACAAACAGCTACTTTGCAGGCAACCCACTACTCCTCAAGCAGCCTGATCCTAAACTCTCCTCCACATCCCTTTGTCACTTGCATCCACCAGTTTCCGGGCTCTGTTCCTCCTCAATGGCCTCATTGCACCCTTTCCCTGCACCTCCTTGCTTGAACCTCCAGAACCTTCCCCGAGCCCTGCCAACCTCTCCACATCCTCTCACTTCCTCTTGTACTCTTCCTTCCTTTTACATTATTTTTCTCCCCAGTCTCACCTTCTGTGTCTCTCTTTGATCTCTGTCTTTTCCAGTTTCTCTCTCGTTCATTTTTCTTCTTCTATCTCTCTCTCTCTCTATCATCTCCTGTTTCCTTTCTCCCTAACACTCAGTTTCTTCCTCTTTCTCTCTCTGGGCACGAGCCAAGCCGTGCTGTGCCCTGGCTCCCTCCTGTCTGTCTGCAAAGACGGACAGCTCTGCTGAAACGACAAAGATTCAGCAGCAGCTTTTATCAAGTTTTTAGCAGCCAGCTCTCACACACAGTTGTGCAGCTGGCTCTCCCCTGCCTTCAGGGTCAGCAGCTTAACTCCTTCTCTCCCTCTCTGGCCCTCTACATTTGCTGTTTCCTCCCCTTTCTCTTTCTGATTTCCTTTCTTACTTTATCCCTTTTTTCCTTTCTTCTTTGAGGGGGAACATGGGGGCTAATTACTTGATCCAGCAGAGAGCATAACCCATCTCTTCTTGTGAGGATGGGGTTTTATTATTCACATAGAGAATTAAAGCTTGGCACACCCAATCCCCATCTGAGCCAATCTTAGGCCAAAAGACCGAAGGCATACTAACGGGGTCTTTGGGCCAGATAAAACAGCAATACTTTATCATTTTTTGTTTTTCCTTATCCATAGTTTGGGGGTTATTTCCCCAAGCCTGTAACATCCTTCCCAGTGAATTATCTGTGGGAATGTTGGAGGGGGCCACGTTGGCTCCCTCCTTCCTTTGTTCCCTAGGCCTAGAATTTTTGCTTCCCATTTTCAGCTGGTCCTCATGTCTGAGTTTTCCTGTGTACTCAACCCCCCTTATTGGAGGTTTCTTTTACACCCTGTGAGTCAACTGCTTTGTCTGTCTCCAGCTGTTTCCCTCGCGGGATAATGGAACCACAGACTGGGACTCCACACTTGCTTTGTATCTAGGATACATCTCAGACACACATACTCGACCTCTGAAAATGCCCAACTACCAAGGCAGTACTTATAGTCCAATTTTCCTATCTTGGCTCATGCACGAGGTTGCCTGGTTGCCGCAGGGCTTGCTTTTCTCCCTGTTACCTCCACTGTCTCCTGAATAACAGTCTCAGGTTTATCTATGGCTTCAGTGGGGAGCTGGGACACCCAGAGAGAGCGGGCCACCTAAATTGGTTGGGACACCTCTCCCCTCTTGGCTGGAGTCCCACTCTATGCAGGCACAGAGATCCTGGATGGACCACCAGGTTGTGAGAAACACACTCACCCGTCCAAACCCAAAGAATGGACTTAGAGGCACAAAGAACAGCAAAAGTGAGAGTTTTTAATAACAGTCTTGCAAGATCAGGTGTCTGGTGAGCAGGCACATCCAGGGCAGTCACAACAGGTAATTTATCCCTCACCACACAAGTCCCTCTCCCAGTTCCTCACTGGTTGAGAACTATGGGGTTAAAATCTTCCCAAATGTTGCCTAAGTTTCATTATTCCCCTTGTAAGGTTATAAACCGTCCCTTTCCTCTCTTAAGTTTCAATTTCCCAATAATGAAACTTTCTTCTCTTTAATGAGCTGACCCCACCTCTACATTTTGTTTGCTTATTGTGACCTTCTAGGTACATGAGCTGAGCAGTTTGTTACATTTGCAGGCTGGCTGTCAGTACTTGATTTATCATGTCTTGAAAATGGACCATTTAAAAGGTTTTTTCACACTTCTTTTCTTATATTCTGAAATATTTGTTTCCTATGTTTAGTAGAATTTGTCAGTAAAACTATTAGATCATGAAATTATTTCTGTGTGGAAATTTTGACTACTGATTCTATTTTTTCTATGGTTTTTGGACTATTAAGGCTGTCTCTTCTTGGGTCCATTTTGTTACATTACTTTTGTCCAGAAATTTGGCCATTTTATTTATTTAAGCTACTATATTTATTAGCACAAAGTTACTTGTAATATTCTTTTGCAATCTTCTGAATCTCAGTGTCTATATTCATATCTTTTATTCTTGAAACTGGCCCAATTATCCCATAGAACTTATGTTAATCATTTGTCTTGAATAAACATAGAAATTGACCCTTCCAGTCTCGAAACTTGAGAAAGTTACATTTGTCTTATCTGAGTTCCTTTCTCAGGAAGCCAATCATCAGGCCTCCCAGACAGCATCAAGGAACTAAAACATACCAGATCACTGTATCTGGACAATGAGATGCCAGACCCCCAGTTGTTATGATTGCCTAACTAACCACCTGCTTCCTGTTGACCAACCCCTCTTCTTTACCTCTCCCCAGTTCCTGTTTTTCCATACACGGTTGTGTTTCTTTCCTGCTATATAAACCCCTAATTTTAATGGGCCAGGGAAATAGATCTGAAACTGATCTCCTATCTCCTTGGCTGCAGCCCAGTTAAATGAGATTAAAGCCTTCTTGCCTGGCAATATTGGTTGTCTCAGTGATTGGCTTTCTGTGTGACAAGCAGCAGGACCTAGACTGAACCCCTGGAGTTTTGGTAACATTTTTAATATTATTATTTTTTATCTTAATCAGTTTTGACAATTATATCGATTTTATTAATATTTTCAAAGAACCTAAATTTGACTTTGATGACTCTGGTTTATATGAATCATCTATTTCTGATGTAAGAGCATTGGTTTCTGCTCTTACAATTTACTATTTCTTTCCTTCTAATTCTTTGACTTCATTCTGTCACCATTGGCAGAACAGATGCTTATCTCATTAATTTTTAGCCTCTTTTCCATTTTAATATAAGCATTTAAGGCTATAAATTTCCTTCAAGTATGCTTTAGCTGATTCTAACACCTTTTGCTTTGATTCTAAATGTTTCCTTTTTAAAATTTTCATTATGCTTTCTTCTTCGTCTCACAAGTTAGTTAAAACATCTTTGTAAATTTCTAATATATGGTCTTATAAAATTATTTTAGCTATTTATTTTTAACTTAATCTATCAGTTAAATGTGCTTGCATTATTAGACTATATCAAGGACCCTATATCAAGGACCCAACTACTTTTCATCACCTCCATTCCTACCATCCTGGTCCAAGAAATTATTTCTTCTCAGCTAGAGACTGCAAAAGCCTTCCAATTGCTTATTCCTGTTTCTACCTCAGCCCATTTTACTCTATTGTCATAATGATCCTATTTATCCTTAAGTCAGAGCATATCACTCCTTTGCTCCAGACCCTCCCACGGCTTTCTATCTCAGACTAAAAGCCAAAGGCCTTATAATGACATGGAAGGCCCTGCATGATCAGTACCTCCTATTTTCTCTCTGACCTTCTCCCCTGCTGCCCTCTCCCTCACTCACACTGCTTCTGTCATATTTTACCTCAATGTCCCTTAAACACATCATCTCAGTTGTTTACATTTCCTGGCATGCTATTTTCCTAGAGATCTGCTTGTTCTTCAGGTCTTTACTCAAATATCACCTCAATGAAGCCTTACCTAGTCAATCTAAAATTTCCAAAGCTAGTAATTTTCTAAATTTTAAAAATTTTGGAAATTTACTAGTAATATTCCAAAATTTTTAAAAGCTAGGACAACATACATTATTATATTAACTTACATTCCCTGAAAAGTTTTTGAATCTTGCAATTATGTTGTAGAAAGTGTTGTAAATAAATTATAAACAAAATCTGAAAACTGTGAAGATTACTGAAAAAGCATCTAATCATGAGGCACAAATTTGTGAGATGAGTGCATAAATACCATTAATTGCATTTAATTAGGAGAAAAGCAGTATAAATAAGTGTTTAAAAATCAGATGAGCAGAATGATTTCAGTTTAAATGTTTTTTCCTTTATATTTTTACTAGAATATCTTGCTTGGTAAACATGTTAACAACAGCGACAAACAATAAGGGTGACTTAACACAATTCTAAATAAGAAAAATTTGAACTACAGAAGCTTCATTTTATTCCTAAACCTCACTGAGAAACTTTCACCAGTACAGAAATAATATTGCAGAGGGTAGATGATCAAGTGTTTATTTAGATAAGTGTCTGCTATCTATGAATGGAGCAACATGGGGCTGTTTTTTCTTATTATGGTTACTGAGAATAAATTATCAAAGGTTATGACAACTTCATTGTATATTTTTATTTGAAATTGGCCTGTTGTATAAAGGGAAGTAGTGGGATGGAGTCACATAACTTCAATAAGTATGTTTGGGATTTGTCTGTAACTATTCTATAGCGGAGATATTGAACAATTTAGTTGATGGAGAAAATCAACTTTTATACTAGTTTCAGTCATAAAAGATCATGAAGCAAGGGTTGGGTAGGTGAGAGAGATGGTGAGGGAATCTCATTAGAAAATTACTGTTGCATTGAAGTCTTGGTGTAAAATAGCTAATATATCTCTTTCTTTCTGAACCATGGCAGGGAAAGGCAAAAGAAACAAGATTCTCCTTCATGCTTTGTCTGTGATACATGTCGATTCATAGATTCAGGGTGTGTAACTGTTCTTTTCAATATCCCAAGTATGCTATATTTCTGATGAACATATCTGAAGTGTGCTGTCTTAGCTCCTAGCTATTTCTACATTTTCTCACTTCCAACTTGTCCCATGGCAAATGGTAGCATCTGCAGACATTGGCTTTGGCACTACTGAAGCACTGCTGTCTTTGGATGGCTTCTTTTACTTTCCAGTTAGACGAAGGAAGCCCAAGAGTCTTCTCTTTTTAATGTGAGACATCACAGAAACCCAATTAAATGAGATTAAAACGTTAACTTGGGTTTCAAAACTTTACAAATGTTAACTACTACTGTCGGTTCTTCCTTTAAGCTGCTTTAATTCTCGTTCTGGTGTTTCAGGCACTTTCATTCTGTCCTTCATAGACATAGAGAAATAAGGCGTTGGGATAATGAAGGACAACAAAAAGTACAGATATGTAATTAAACTGACTGGAGTGCTGGTTCTTCTCCCTCCATTTTCTCAGTTGGAATTCTTATGTTCCCATGCATGTCTTTATTGGTTTTCTCTGTGTTCACACTGCTCTATGTCACAGCTCCACAGTCGGGAGACCCTAGATGAGCTGTGGTGCTCCCTTAAATTGATCATTCTTCTTTTTTTTTTTATCTCTCTCTCATAAGAGAGAGAGCATGTGTTCGTTTTGGGAGTCCAGCTCTTAACCAGCAATCTAAGTTTCATAGCTATATTAGTCCTCTTTTATCTATTTGCTATTAACAATATAATATATTCTTCAATGTTCTCTCCTGAGCCTTCCCACGTCTCCTTTTCCCCCCTCTTTATTCTGGTAGCTACTTATTATCATCTCTCAATAGAGTAATAAACTTTTAGCTTTGTTCTGTCTGGCATGGCCCGTCCAAATGGATATATTTTAATTTAGATACTTTAAAATAACTATCCAACAGCTCATTCCAAAATCGTACATCTTTTTAATCTTACTTTTTACCACAATTCCTTCCTTGAATATGAAAATCCATTGCTCCTTACCTTTAAGTGTTTAGAAGCACAATTTTTCAATTCACAACTTTTCCCCCATAGAGTGAGAAAATAACTTGAGTTCCTCTAATTTTTTCCAGTGAACTTAGTCACAAAAGAAACCAAAAGAATTTATTAATGTTGGTTTTCAATAAGGCTTTACCATATTTAAAAAATACTGATATCCCTAGATATATTAAATGCTGTTTGTTCATAAAAATATTATCAATTGCCTTTTAGTATGAATAATATTTAAAAGTGAGGACAGCATGAAATCAGTTCTCAAAGCAGCTGTCACCACTGAGAGGTACATAGTTTTTAGTATTAATGCAGTCTGAGACATTACCAAGATAATTCCATATTTCTATATTGTTCATACTTCCTTAGTCATCATTCTATTTTGAAAGTTTCTTGTCAAGGAACTAACAGGAGAATTGGAGTCTCACTCAGGGTGTTGTTTGTTAGATGGTTTTCCTAGATTTAGTATTTTTACTTAATTTTCAGGCCCATTTGGACAATCAGCCCAGCTGATCTTTCTTCACAGTGACTATATGACTAAATAAACTGGCTCAATGCATAGCCTTGATTTCTGGAACACCAAACTTTTTCTGTGAGTTTCTTCTCTCTCCCTTCCTTCTCCTTTATTCATCAACTCTGTCTCCTTCCTTTTCTTGTTTCTTCCTTGTTGACTCATAGCTTATACTTCTTAATCTGTAAGCTTCATGAACTTAGGAACCAAGTCTATCTCCTTCCTTGCTCTGTCTGCATTGCCTAAATATGTAAGACATAATGGTTAGATAAATAGTAAAGTTGGAAACTTAAATCCGGTATAAAATTATTATTTATGCTTATAGTACCCAAAGTATTCTGAATGCCACAATATGAGTGTCACATTTCCTAATCACAGTTTATTTATATGGAAAGCTTTCCAACCAAAATATGAATTGCATTTAACTGTTCACTGAAATAGAGTTTGTTCTGCTAAAAAAAAATCAGTTGCTTGAAAATAGGACTGGAAGAAAATATGGTTCCTTCAAATAAGGTGGATTCAGACTTTAAGTGAAATACACTGTATTTAATTTTAAATTTGAGTTTCCCTGCTTGGTAAGTATTCTCTTCTCTTCCTCAGACATTTCAATAAGTAGGAGGACCCTTAGACTGAGTCATTTTGAAATACATAGTCAACTTGTCTATCTTTAGCTACTGTAGTGCCTTAGTTCTTTCCTTTTGGTTTACAAGTAAGGGACAGATTTTTGTTGGGGTGCAGTAATTTATCTACTCCACACAAAAGCTACTGTTCTGTTTGAATAGCCTAGAGAACTTTGAAGTAGTTTGTATTCATGCCTAAGATTATGTAATTGTCAAATCACAGACCATCAACAAAAATGTCTTTTTTTTTTTTTTTTTTTTTTTTTTTGAGACGGAGTCTCATTCTGTCTCCCAGGTTGGAGTGCAGTGGCACAATCTCAGCTCACTGCAACCTCTGCCTCCTGGGTTCAAGCAATTCTCCTGCCTCAGCCTCCTGAGTAGCTGGGACTACAGGCATCTGCCACCATGCCCGGCAAATTTTTGTATTTTTAGTAGAGACGGGGTTTCACTATGTTGGTCAGGCTGGTCTCCAACTCCTGACCTCATGATCTGCCCGCCTCAGCCTCCCAAAGTGCTGGGATTATAGGTGTGAGCCATCGCGCCTGGCCAAAAATGTCATTTTTAAAGTAAATATTAAAAGGAACTTTGTTCACTTAGGTTTTCTAATATAATTACCATTAATCACTTAAATCAATTAATTAACTGAATTACTTGTACTTTTATGCCAAGTTATATATATATATGCACAATATTGGCCAGGTGCAGTGGCTCATGCCTGCAATCCTAGCACTTTGGGAAGCCGAGGTGGGTGGATCACTTGAGGTCAGGAGTTCAAGACCAATCTGACCAACATGGTGAAACCCTACCTCTACTAAAAATACAAAATTAGCCAGGCATGGTGGCACATGCCTGTAATCCCAGCTACTTAGGAGGCAGAGGCAGGAGAATCGCTTGAACCCAGGAGGCAGAGGTTGCAATGAGCCAAGAAGGTGCCATTGCACTTCAGCCGGGGTAACAAGAGCAAAACTCCATCTCAAAAATCTATCTATCTATCTATCTATCTATCTATCTATCTATCTATCTATCTATCTGTCTGTCTGTCTATCTATCTATAGATAGATATGCACAATCTATGAAATTTGTAATAATTATAATTGTTTCTCTTTCCCTACATAAAAAAAGTATCTTCTTGTGAGGCAGCTCTGTTCACCACCCATCCATTAGGTGGGTGGGAAGCTTGATATTCCAACTAGAAGTGTCCCAGTTTCTGCCTATTTAAAACAGCCTCTTTTTTTGTTCGTTTTTTAGCTCTGTCCTTTTGAGTACCTATTCAATCAAATTGAAGGTTCAAACTTCTTAACAGGACTGTTGTTTCCTTTCAGAGATACACTTTTCCCCCTGAAGATGGTTTCTGAGTTCATATGAAAACTCAATAAATCATATACCATTGGGAAAGAGGTCCACAGTGTCCATATGGAGGTACTTGTGATGTCCTGGATTCTCAGAGGCCTCTAAGGATATTCCTCTTGCCCTATTTGGCTACTAGGCAACCTGCTGGCACCTGCTTACCACCAGCAGTGGTGTACGTTATCCTGCCTGATCTCTGGTTTTAGCCTCATCCTCCTTAAACCTCTGTAGAGAAATCGGTGCAATTCAGTCTTTTCTTGGCTCATGCTTGGCCTCCTTGTCTCTCCATGCCACCCCTTCATGCTTGGCCCCATGTGGGCCCTCAAACCCTGAGTTTCAAACATATTAATTCATCCAGCCACTGGCTTAGACTGCCCACCACAATGCTTTTGCTATTTTGAATAACTCTTTTTTTCTTTTAACAAAACTTATGTTTTCCAGACTGTTGCTTCACTAAAGTCTAAGTTTAAGAACATCTTTAGGGGCCAAAACAATGACTTCTTGGCTTCAGACTCCATCTGTTCATGATCAAAAGTGCTGCAACTCATTGATTCAATCAGTGAGAAAGCACAGGGGATCATGATTTTTAAGAGGAAAGAATAAAAACTTGGTTGAGACCAGAAAATATGACAAATTAGACAAGTTGATTGACTCTCTGCTGCAAACAACTAAAAAGTCAGGATAAATTATTTCTAAAAAATCTTTTAGACTGTGCCATTGACCTAGAAATAAAATATTACATACTAGAGATCCAGAGAGATAAGCAGAATGCTCAACCTAGCTTTTATCTGGATGGAATTTGGTCTTGCAGAGGAAGGGCTCAGGACACATATTCCAAAGGTCAGCCAAGAAAGGAAATCTAACAGGAGACCATCTCCCTTCATAAAACAAGAATCACAACAGGCTAAATTTCACTGAAAACGTAAACCATAAATAATACTTTTCCAGGATGTTACAAGTAAAACAGACTATCTCAAACATTTTCACTGTGTGAAGAAAAATAATCATTGAGGATTCATATCACAGGTTGATCCTTGGAGTTTAAATAATATTAGACAAAGATGAAGAGAAAATTAATAATATGGAAGAAAAATGTCTGAAAATAAGATGCAAAAATGCATCATAAAGATACAAAGAGATGAAAAATATTAAAGAAGAGTTAAGAGACATGGAAGTCAAAATAAGGTCTTGTGTGCACCTAATCAGATTTCTATAAGGAACAGAGTGAAGCATTACCTGACTTGAAATTGTACTACAAAGCTATAGTAACCAAAATAGCATGGTACTGGCATAAAAACATATAGACTAAATGAATAGAATAGATGGCCTATAAATAAATTCACACATTTACAGTGAACTCATTTTTGTCAAATATGCTAAGAACATACCATGGGAAAAGGACACCTTCTTCAATAAATGGTGCTGGGGGAAAATGGATATCCGTATACAGAAGAATGAAACTAGACCCCTATTTCTCAACATATGCAAAAATAAAATCAAAATGAATTAAATTATCAAATCTAAGACCTAAACTTATGAAACTATTAGAAGAAAACATTAAGAAGTAACTTCAGCACAAGAATAGTCTGGGAAGAATTTCTTGAGTAACAGCACAAAAGCACAAGAAACCAAAGCAAAAATGAAAACATGGGATCACATCAAGCTAAAAAGCTTCTGCAACAGCAAACGAAACAATCAACAAAGTAAAGAGACAACCCACAGAATGGAAGAAAATATTTGCAAACTACACATCTGAGAAGGGACTAATAACTAGAATGCATAAGCTAAAACAACTCAATAGGAAAAAAAAATCAAATAACCTAACAAAAAAAGTGGGCAAAAGAGCTGAATAGACATTTCCTTAGAAAACTGGCATGAGACAAGTATGCCCTCTCTCACCACTCCTATTCAACATAGTATTGGAAGTGGCTGGCCCAGGGCAATCAGGCAAGAGAAAGAAATAAAGAGTATTTGAATAGGAAGAGAGGAAGTCAAATTGTCTCTGTTTGCAGATAACATGATTGTATATTTAGAAAACCTCATCATCTCAGCCCAAAATCTTCTTAAGCTGATAAGCAACTTCTGCAAAGTCTCAGGATACAAAATCAATGTGCAAAAATGACAAGCATTCCTATACACCAATAATAGACAAGCAGAGAGCCAAATAATGCGTGAACTCCCATTCATAATTGCTACTAAGAGAATAAAATACCTAGGAATACAACTTACAAGGGATGTGAAGGACCTCTTCAAGGAGAACTACAAACCACTGCTCAAGGAAATAAGAGAGGACACAAACAAATGGAAAAACATTCCATGCTCATAGATAGAAAGAATCAAAATCGTGAAAATGGCCATACTGCCCAAAGTAATTTATAGATTCAGTGCTCTCCCCATCAAGCTACCACTGACTTTCTTCACAGAAGTAGAAAAAACTACTTTAAATTTCATATGGAACCAAAAAAGAGCCCTCATAGCCAAGACAATCCTAAGCTAAAAGAACAAAGCTGGAGGCATCATGCTACCTGACTTCAAACTATACTACAAGGTTACAGTAACCAAAACAGCATGGTACTGCTACAACAACAGATATACAGACCAATGGAACAGAACGGAGGCCTCAGAAATAACACCACACATCTAAAACCATCTGATCTTTGACAAACCTGACAAAAGTAAGCAACAGGGAAAGGATTCCCTATTTAATAAATGGTGTTGGGAAAACTGGCTAGCAATATGCAGAAAATTGAAACTGGACCCCTTCCTTACACCATATACAAAAATTAACTCAAGATGGATTAAAGACTTAAACATAAGACCTAACACCATAAAAACCCTAGAAGAAAACCTAGGCAATACCATTCAGGACATAGGCATGGGAAAAGACTTCATGACTAAAACACCAAAAGCAATGGCAACAAAGCCAAAATAGACAAATGGGATCTAATTAAACTAAAGAGCTTCTGCAAAGCAAAGGAAACTATCATCAGAGTGAAAAGGCAACCTACAGAATGGGAGAACATTTTTGCAATCTATCCATCTGACAAATGTCTAATATCCAGAATCTACAAAGAACTTAAACAAATTTACAAGAAAAAAGCAAACAACCCCACCAAAAAGTGAGCAAAGGATATAAATAGATACTTCTCAAAAGAAGACAATTGTGCAGCCAACAAACATATTAAATAAAGCTCATCATCACTGGTCATTAGAGAAATGCAAATCAAAATCACAATGAGATACCATCTCACGCCAGTTAGAATAGCGATCATTAAAAAGTCAGGAAACAACAGATGCTGGAGAGGATGTGGAGAAATAGGAATGCTTTTACACTGTTGGTGGGAGTGTAAATTAGTTAAACCATTGTGGAAGACAGTGTGGTGATTCCTCAAGGATCTAGAACCAGAAATGCCATATGACCCAGCAATCCCATTACTTGGTATATACCTAAAGAATTATAAATGATTCTACTATAAAGACACATGCACATGTATGCTTATTGTGGCACTATTCACAATAGCGAAGACTTGAAACCAACCCAAATGCCCATCAATGATAGACTGGATAAAGAAAATGTGGCACATATACACCATGGAATACCATGCAGCCATAAAAAGGGATGAGTTTGTGTCCTTTGCAGGGACATGGATGAAGCTGGAAACCATCATTCTCAGCATACTAACAGAAGAACAGAAAACCAAACACCGTATGTTCTCACTCATAAGTGGGAGTTGAACAATGAGAACAGATGGACACAGGGAGGGGAACATCACACAATGGGGCCTGTCGGGGGGTGGGGGCTAGGGGAGGAATAGCATTAGGAGAAATACCTAATATAGATGATGGGTTGATGGGTGCAGCAAACCACCACGGCAAGTGTATACCCATTTAACAACCCTGCACGTTGTGTACCTGTACCCCAGAACTTAAAGTATAATAATAAAAAATGGGCAAAAGAGCTGAATAGACATTTCTTAAAAGAAGTCATACAAATGGCAAACAGGTATATGCAAAAATGCTCAATATCACTAATCATCAGATAAATGAAAATCAAAACTGCAATGAGATATCATCTCACCCCAGTTAAAATGACTTTTATCCAAAAGAAAGACAACAATGAATGCTGGTGAGAATAAGAAGAAAGAGAAACCTTTTCTCCCACCAACCCTACACTGTTGGTGGGAATGTAAATTAGTACAGCCATTATGGAGAACAGTGTGGAGGTTCCTCCAAAAACTAAAAATAGAACTACCATATGTTCCAGTAATCCCACTACTGGATATACATCCAAAAGAAAGGAAACCAATACATCAAAGAAATGTCTGCATTCCCTTGTTTATTGCAGCACTATTCAGCACTATTCATAATGGCAAAATATGGAATCAACCTAAGTATTCATCAACAGATGAATGGACAAAGAAAATGTTGTATACACAGTAAAGTATTTCAGCCATAAAAAAGAATGCAATCCTGTCATTTGCAACAACACACATGGAACTGGAGGACATTTTGTTAAGTAAAATAAGCCAAGCACAAAAAGACAAATATTGTATGTTTTCACTCATACATAGGAGCAAAAAAATAAATAAAATTTAACTCATGGAGATAGAGACTAGAATGATGGTTGCCAGAGCCTGGGAAAGGTAGCGGGGAGGAGGGAATAAAGGGAGGTTGTTTAATAGGTACAAAACTACAGTTTAGATAGAATGAATAAGATCTAGTAGTCAGTAGCACGATAGAATGACTAAACAGCAATTTACTGTATATTTTTAAATAACCAAAATAGTAGAAATGGAATGTTCCTAAAACAAAGAAATGATAAATGCTTGAGGTGATGGATACTCTAATTACTCTGATTTTATCATTACACACTACATGATATGCCTGTATCAAAACATCACATGTATCTCATAAATTATGTATAAATACAACGTGTCCATAATAATTATAAATAAATTTTTAAAGAAAAAATAAGGGAGTGGGAGAATATAAGAGAGAAAATATTTGAAGAGTTGATAGGTGATAATTTTCCAGAAATTCTGCAAGATGCCAATCCACAGATTCAAGAACCCCAAAGAATCTTAGAATCTGAAGGATGATAAATAAAAAGAAATCTTCTCCCAGATATATTGTGCTGAAACTGTAGAATACCAGAGAGAAGATATTAAAACCAACCAGAGAAAAAAGATAGATACCTACATGGGAATACATTTAGAATGACAGCTGACCTCTCCATAACAACAATGGAAAGTAGAAGTCAGTGATGATGTATTTGCTTTGCTATGTGAAAATACCTTACATGAATAAGGGCAAAATAAAGACATTTTCAGATAAGTAAAAATGAGAAGAGCTTGCTATCAATAACTAAAAGAAGGTTGTATTCAGCTAAAAGAAAGTAGCCCAGGTGGAAGGACTGGAACATACGAAGAAATTATAACCAGAAAGATGAAAAATTGGGGATAACTCTAAATATATATTGACTACACACAATGTGATCTAATGGAAAATTATTAAAAGATAAAATTACACTATATTACTATAATAGCATATAAGTCACAAATCATATGATTGGATTATTTGACAGAAGAAAGTAACAAATTAATATACTTGTTATCTTTAAACTTTGATCATTTTAGGTATGCAAGCTAAAATGTTCAGAAATAAACAGAATAAAAATGTTATAATTTCCAAACTAGTTGATGGGGAAAATGTAATGAGAAAAAAAACATTTGGTCTGAAAGAACACAAGAAAGGGGTGAGGGGAGAAAACAGAAAAGCCAGGACAAATAGAAAGCACATAATAATCCAAATACAATTCACACCTGTAATTGCAACACATAGAAAAGACCAAATACTTTAGACTACAGACAAAAATTGCCAGATAAAATTTTTAAATGAACCATATGCTTGCTGATTACTGGGAGCCCCTCTAAAACAGAAGAACATATAAACACAGAAAGGAAAGGGTGGAAAGAAGATATACTAGGAAAATAATAACCAAAAGAAAGTTGGAATGTTTCTATTAGTATTGGATAAATGAGACTAGTGACTAGAGCTAGTGACAGTTTCTACATAATAATAGAAGTTTCAATCCACCAGGGAGATATAATATTTTGAACACGTGTGTGCCTAAGAATTAAATCTCAAAATATATGAAGCAATATTTGACAGATTACAAGAAAAAATAGATAAGTTCATCTCCATAATGGGAGACTTAAACACATCTAATTAATTGATAGAACAACAGAATTAGCAAGTTTGATATCTTGCACCTAACAGCTGCAATTCAAAAGCTATATGGAAGTTGTCAGGAATTTGACCACACAACTGGGCCTTAAAGTAAGTCTCAATGACCATCTCTTAAGCTAAGCAACACAACCTCATTAAGTTGGCCACTGGGAAGGACAGGCCACATGTAGGTAAGCTTGTTCCATAGAGGATTTTCAACTCTAGAATGTTTCCACTGGCCTGGCTTACTGGTTCCTTCATGTTTTATGGCCCACCTAAAACAAAAGATAAAAAACAAAAAGAAATTTAGCAAGGTTAAATATCACTTTAAAATATTCATTTTATTCATTGAGTACTTACTATACACTAGGCAAAAACTCAGTTTGAATTAAAAACCCAAATCTGAAAATTTGCTGTGTAAAGAGACACAAATGAGAGTAACTTACTAAAAAATAATAAATTTTAAAATCAGGAAAGCATTAAGGCAAAATTGGCAATGTTATTGCTAGACAACTATATTTGAGGCAAAAGGTAAAGTAGAATAACAGTCCTTTTATAATAACAATGACATAAATAACAATATTAACATAAAAATTAAGCAAAACTTTAGACAGTAAAAGAGAAGTTAGCTGACATACAATTATTGTGGGATACATTATTAAAAGACCAACAGATTGCAAAGTACCAGATAAATTTTTTAAAGTAATAGAAACAAAATATCTGAATGCTATAAGTAATAAATGCAAGTATTTATATACACTGTAACATGCTAATGGAGAACATATCTTTCTCAACAATTCATGGAATATTTGTAATATTTGCCACATATACACAAAGTAAACTTTAATATAGTTTTGAAATAAAAATGGAATAAGTCATATATTGTGACAAATGAGAAAATAAAATCAGATATAAATGCAATTTTAAAATTTCGACCACATATTATATTAATTATATAGTAATTATATTAATTACATTATATATAAGTATTATATTTATTATCATAAGCATTATATTAATTATATATTAATTATAAGTAAACACACATTTCTTCCCTAAAACTCTATCATACCAGATGGGGGGGAAAAATGTGATCAGTAGTTATTTAGTAAGCAATGAAATAACGTACTTGAAACCTTACAGGATACATGTAGAATTATATCCAAAGATAAATTTATAATATTAAGTGCTAATTTATTAAAAGCTAAGTAGAGAAGGGAAATTAATAAAGCATTCAACTCAAATTATTATTTTTTAAATATAAAATTGTCCTAAGGAAAAATATGTGAAGGGGAATTATAATAAAGGTTCAAATAGAAATCAATAACTTGGAAAGTAGACCCTCAGCAGAATGGTCCAAAGAAGTGTTTTTCAGTTTGGCAGTTCTTCAGAAAGTCAAATATTAGAATGCCATGTGACCCAGCAATCCCATACTTAGGTTTATAAACTCAAAAGATTTGAAAGTACGTATTCAAACAATACTTGTGCATGAAAGTTCACAGCAGCACTATTAATAGTAGGCAAAAAGTAGAAACAACCCCCAAAATATGTCTTTGAAATAAAAAATATAATAGCAAATCTCTTGCAAATAAATCTAGATGAATAAGAATGTAAGACAAACCAAACAGAAAAATTGAGCTAAATAGTTAACATTAACAAAATGAAAAGTAAGAGTATATTATGCATGTATATATTAATAAATACAACAATTCTTTTTTTTTTTTTTTTTTTTTTTTGAGACAGAGTCTCGCTCTGTCGCCCAGGCTGGAATGCAGTGGCTCGATCGATCTCGGCTCACTGCAAACTCCGCCTCCCGGGTTCACGCCATTCTCCTGCCTCAGCCTCCGGAGTAGCTGTGACTACAGGCGCCTGCCACCACGCCCGGCTATTTTTTTGTATTTTTAGTAGAGACGGGGTTTCACCGTGTTATCCAGGATGGTCTCGATCTCCTGACCTCGTGATCTGCCGGCCTCGGCCTCCCAAAGTGCTGGGATTACAGGTGTGAGCCACCACGCCCAGCCTAAATACAACAATTCTAATGAATAAATTAATTTCTGGAAAAAACCTCACAGATTTGAAATAGAAAATACTAAAAACGAGCTCCTGATCATATATCTTTGCAGAACATGGGACAGATCTTTTCATGTGATATAAAATACTTTAAACCATAAAGATACAGAAAACTAGTTAATTCATCCCATGAAGGGGAGATAAGCTTCATAATAAAGTTAGTCAGTGGTAATTTAACAAGTGATACAGCAATTGTATTTATAATTAAAGATGTAAAATTCCTAAATCAGTATTAGCCAATAAAATGTAACATTGTGGCAAGAGCATAATTATAATAGCTAAGAAATACTGGTCCTAGAAATGAAACGATGGACATTTACTAATGCAATACATCACTGATTAATGAATGAGAGTGCAGGAGCAGTGCATCACCCATAATTTTCCAGTGCACATGATGGTCATCTGAGCCTGCAAATTTTCTGAGATCCCTTAGCCCCATCAGATCCATCCATAGTACTTGGCCTTGTATTTCTCTTCTTTGCTCTGTGAAATTACAAATTCATTATCTGAGCAATGCTTTTTATATGTCTTGTTTCGTGGAGTGTTGGCTACATACAAGACAACAAATACCCAGCAACCCAAATTGAAGTCTAAAGAGAAATGGAAAGTTCATTAATTCAGACAACATATTTGAGTTATTGGAATATTAGCGAACAACTTCAGAAGGCGGTAAGCTCCTACAACTGCAGGTGAAAGTAACAGGAACACATATATTTAAATCACACCAATTTTATTTTATTTTTTGGAATACGTGGTCTACCTCCAAGAACCCGCTTCTTTTGAAAACCTTTCTTGTAGTTTTCTCATTCACACGTCAATATCTTCTGGGCCTGAAGATATAAAAGCTTGCTTTGTTGTTTCTCATAGCCATATCTAGTTTATTGTTACTCCATCCACTTCCAAAGATCCCCAGTCGCTTTGAAGCACATATCAATAGACCATAACACCTACTTCACTTCCTAGTTGCATTTATATCAGTTCTCCTATATCCTCTCTTCTCATTTATTGAAGAGTTTACTATCCTGGCTTACTTTTGTTCTCTCTACCTCTCTGCTCCTGTAATTATCCAACATCTTTTCATTATCTGAGTAGACAATCCACCCTGGCCTCTCAGGGCCTCCCAAGACTTTAACCCCTTTTCAAATATCAGCCTACCCTTCCCATGAACACAACCTCAAACTGGTCAATACAAATAACTACACCACTTTCAAAATCCTGTTTTCAACACCATCACCCTTTCACCACCACCTCCTTTTTCTCTAGTTCATGTATTTAAGTATCCGTATTCCAATAATTCCTCAACTCTTCCAGATTATCCAAGCCACTGCATTGATTACCTATTTATACCCCGTAACCTCCCTGCCAGGTAGGCTCTTCCCTTTGTACTCAGTTAAGATTCATGGTCCAGCGTCATAGCCACTGTCTTGTGCTTGCCCTCAACCCATTGCCCCTTCTCCTTCTCTGTATTAACTTAAAAAATAAATAAATAAACCAACTCTGGTTAAGTCCAACTCAAAGCCTATACTTGAAGAGTTGATCAGTGGTTGGAGAAAAACACAAACAACCATGAATGAAATTGCTACAAATGATCAGATCACAATGTGGTTTGGGGAGCAGTACGGATATACTAGGGAGTGTTTAAGAATTTGAGGACTTTTTTGGTTGTCACAATGATTAGATGACACTACTGTCATCTAACTGGCAGGAGACCAAGAATACCAAATATCCTTCAAAATATGGGAAAGTTTGTCCTGCATCTCACAGACTTTCAAATTTCCCTCTGAGCATTCATGTTGGGGAAAATTGGAGTCTAAAGCCAAAGTATATTTTACAAAATGATACCAGTTTTTTTTATTGAGATGGGGTGTAGCTATGTTGCCCATGCTGGTCTCAAAGTCTTGGCCTCAGGTAATTCTCCCACCTTGGCCTCCCAAAGTGCAAGGATTATAGGCATGAGCCACCATGCCCAGCCCAAAGTACTTTTTCATACACACTGAATTTTATAGAAATTCAGCTCCCTCCAATATCTCAAGTAGGGAAACTCTGATTTTTTTTATGTTGTTCACTATTTTGGAAAAATCACATCATTGATAGCAATACCATTTATGGTATTTGAGTCACCAACACAACATAGTTGTATCCTTTGGTATTTATAGTTCACATATCCAGTTCGTTCTATGCATAGGAGCAAGTATCTGCAAACTTAATGTTGTCCAGAATAGCTGTGCTGAGAATCTATATTATAATATATATTACTTTTACTTTAAAGTTATTTTTCTTTTATTTCCATAATTATTACTGGTCAACCATTTCTTTAAAATTACATTAGTGGGTAGGTTATCTTAACTATAAATTTTATTTTAGGATAATAAAGAAGTCATTAAAATATATTTTTTATAAAGAGAGAGCATGAGATCGGGTAGTGTTGACAACTACTCTTTTAAATTTATAACCACAAACCTCAAGTGGACCCTTAGCACTGCTGGGCCATCTCACTGCATTCCTCCATCCCATTGACTCCAACCCCTGAGGGGCACATGACTTCTTTCTCATCAAACCTCTCACTTCCCACTGCCCATTTCTCAATGTCTGCTGGAGCCCTTCTTATTTCACTGAGAAAATAGAAGTGGTCAGAAGACTTTCCTCATCCTCCCACCAGCAAATCTACCCAGCTCCCTACCTCTGTACCCATACACTCTGCCTGCCCTCCTGCCCTCCACTATAGCGGAGCTGTCTATTCTCTGATTGAAGGCCAATACTTGTGCTTGTGCCTCGGACCCTTATCCTCCCTCATCTAGGACTTTGCTCCTGCTTTCTGCTGTTAATTTTCCTTCCCTTCTGCATCATTCCATATGCATAATGTCTGACAATCTGACATGGAAAAAAGAACCCTCTCTACACCCACATCCATGACTAGTTATTGCCTTATTTCTGTGTGTCCCTTTGCAGCAAAGACCTTAAAAGGCTCATCTCCTTTTTCATTCTCTTCCCTTTCTCTCCTAAACCATTCCTATTAGATTTTCATCTCTGAAACTCCAATGAAACTGCCTCATCAGGGTTTTTACATTACCGAAGTCAAAGGTCTTTTCTTAAAACATACCTGAACTAACAGAAACATCTGACAAAGGGTATTTCCTCCTTCTGACCTGGCAGACCCAATTGTACTAAAGTTATCTGAGGTGATAAAGGATTCTGTGTTAAGTCTCTGGTAAGCCCAGTAAGAGAGGTGCAGTGTTGGTCCTAAGATTGTTGAGCAAGATCATCCTCTTTGCAACAGAAAACAACTGTGCTTTTGAAAAACAATCCCTGGTTTATTGAAACACTGTTTTTGAAACTAAGAACTGGGACATGCATGGTGAAGTGACTATGAAAACTGAGCCACCCATCATGAGCTGGGTGTGGTAATATCCTTCATGACATGTGGTAAGACAGATGCAACGACATCCTATATTGTACAATGGAAGTGAAATATTTAGGCTCAGGCTCAAGCAAATCCAGGTTTTTGCACTGATTCCTCTCCCTTAACTTACACCTATGGCCTGAAGACAGTTTCTCTATGACTATTTGACTTAATGGCAGAAGAACTCAAGCCTGGTTCACAAAGAGGTCAGTGTGATGTGTTAGTGCTGGTCAGAGTGCACTGCTGTTACATTTATAGTCCCACTTGGATGTGTCCCTGAAGGACAGTGGTGAGAAATTGTCCCATTAGGTTGAGCTGTGAGTGGAATACTTGATCATCCACTTTGTAGAAAGTATAGGTAACCAGAGCTGTGGATATACATTGACACATTATTAATGATTTCACCTGCTGATCAGAAGCCTCAAGAAGACAAAACTGGAAGATCAGGGAAATGGAATTTTGAGGAAAAAGTATGTGGATGGATCTATGGGGAGGGTATAAAGCTCGTGAATCTTTATTTGTCATGTAAATGCCTACCAGAGAGCATCTATCACAGAAGAGGTTCTCAACAACCAAGTGGACAGGATGCCCAAAGTGCCCCATCAGAATGTTTATATATTGACCTGATATCACACACAACATTGTCTCAGATTAAGAGACCCATTTTATGGCAAAGGATGTGCAATAGTGAACCACAAGATTCACCTGTCTTACATTGTACATTATCTCCCAGAAGCAGTTGGCATCAGAGAATGAAAGAATGGCCCTGAAGTCTGAACTAAGTCTCCAGCTTGGGGTAACACTGGTAAGGTTGGGGTGTTATCCTAAGGATCAGTATATGCAATAATCCCAGCATTACATGGTGGTGTGTCCTTAACAGCTAGAATACATGGGTTCAGAAACCAATGGTAGAGGGAGGACTGGCCCTTCTTGCCATCACTTTCAAAAAGCTACTTCAGAATCTGTATTCCTATTTCTAAAACCTTAGGCTTTGCTGGGTACTGATTTTCACTGTGGTAACACTTCTGCCAGTGGATGCAATAAGTCTTCCACTGACCTGGGGAGTGATTGGAGAATTGATCTTGATTGCCATGAGGACTGAAATTTGCCCCTACACAGTGGAGGCAAAGGTCTGAAACCCAGGGGACCTTGGGGACATTTGGTAGTGCTTCTATGCCCAGTGAATAGAGGAAAGGGGCAATTGCATCAGTCATAGTCTAGTATGGGCAAATACATTAAGGGCTGAGACTTCTCAAGGATAAAGTCCTGGGTAAAGTAACTCACACTAGTCAAAGCACTGGCCAAGAATAAGAGAAATCTAAAATTGATGGAAGAGGAGGAAGTTGATGCCTTCCAATCAGAGTCTTAGGACCAACTGCAGCAGTGAAGGTTGAGGCTTGATTTGCAAACCCTTTTTGAGTCATTTTAGGAGACTGCAACGGATGACCACATTGAAGTACTTAACTATAACCCCAACCCCTTGAGGCAGAATTGAGGGCATCTTATTCTCCTATAAGATAGGGATATTGTTAGAGGTGCAAGTGGATCTGAATGGCCTAAGAGGTAGACTGTACTGGGCCCGGTTTACGTGCCTCTCCAAATTCGCTCAGCCCCATTCTCCTCCCTGTTCACATGTTCAGTGAAGATCTTAGGCGACCACTGTAGTCACTTCGTCTTCTACCAGCACTGATTCTCTTATATACTCCCAGAGAGAGGGCCAGGCTTTGGCACAGCTTCCTTCATACCCACTGAACTATGGAATGCTCATGGGTATGGAGTGTTCCTTCATACCCACTGAACTACTGGAGTGCTCCACTTCTTGGAGCTGACCAGTCATTCCACCACTTCCTGTCTCAGATAAAATATTGTCCCACAGGGCATGGGCTCTGGCTTCCCCAGTGACTGCCTAAAAGGTCCTCGGAGGATCAGTTATATAATCCAGAAGTGAGGGGGACTCAATGCCTCTTGGGGCAAACTTTGACTAATTAGAACCTAGGGACAAGAGGAATCAATAAATAAATCCCTTTCCTTTCCTTCCCAAGATATGTGGGTCCTACAAACCTGGATGAAACGTGTCCCAAGTGAGTTTACTTTTGAAGCTATGGCCAAATCCATCACACTCCACCTGGTACTTTATTTCCCTCCTTCCCTTCCCTGCTTTCATTTTTCTTTCACTTTTGCTGACCTGGGATTGCCCTTCCTAATAAACCTTAGCATATAAACTTCTTCAGGCTACTGTTTACTAGGAAACTCGAATTGAAGCACCCAAAAGACACGGGTGAGGAGCAATCTAAATCTCTATCTGATCATACTCTCAGGTAGTATGCCATAAAAGAGTCTAAATTCAATCTAAATTATCTCTCAACCAAGAAGTTGGGTGTTGGGGATGGAATTTAATCTTCAAGTATAAATATATAATAGAACAACTATATGTATATATCTTATATAAGCATACTTGTATGGATATAAAATCACATCTTAGTTTACTTCTACAGTTTTTCATTATCTGGTTGCAGTGCCTATATAACTTCAGCCCATCAGGGTGTCTTTAAAATGAGCCGGTCATGTTCAACTTACACTGTTAATAAACATTAACATAGAGCAAAGGCTATTAGACTGCAGAGTTCTGACACAGATTGACCTTTCATGTAAAAGCAATAGAACTCTTAATATTCTGCTTTATAAATGAAAAGCTGACAGACCCTTAACTGTAATGGCACTAGCTGGCCCAGCTATAATGACAACACATGTGCACAACACAAATTAGAACTTTACAGCATCAGTAAGTTCTCTGGAATCCTAATTCTTAAAAGCTAGCACTAGGTGGAGACAGTGATTCATGCAATGCTTGCAGGCAGCCTTTTCGTAGTCCCCTGGAGAACTTGCTTCTATTTAATATTTCCATGTTTTTCTTCAGTGTGGACAGGGGTGTTCTTGAACAATTGGTATTTCTGATAGAAACGTTATATAAAACAAAACATCTCAGGCTTTGGAAGGACCTACTTGAAAACACTCATGTATACACACAGCCCACAAGGCAGCCAAATAAGCTTCAAAGGCAATTTTATTTATTTAATATAATGTCTTTATTAGCTTTGCCTTCCCATTAAAGGCAAAATTCTATTTATGATACTTCATGAGTATCTACTTCCATGGATAGGAGTATGAACAAAGTTGCAATTTCCTCCCAGATTTATTTGAACTTAAAAGAAATACTAGGGTCTCTGTTCAATATTTGATTGACAGTTATCTCCTCTCTCAAAAACAAAATCCAGAATTAAACATATCAATTTCAGAATGATTAATGGAGCCACAGATCCACCACAATGCTTTATTCAATTAATCTTTTAAAGTAATGGAAAACAAAAATACTTTAGATAATTTTTTGGAGTCCAGTGCCTTTAATGGAACTACAACTATGAAAATTTGTGCAAGTCTGTATACATAGTAACAAAAAGATACTATTTAGCACTCTTGGAAATCAACAGTAAAACAAAAACAAATCTAAATGTGCCCTAGTTGAAAAGAAATAGTCTTTTTCATATTGTATCAGGACAAAATTGTATTGTTTCCAATAAGGTAATGAACATAGTAATAAAATTAGACAATATATCATTTGGATCTGGTACAGTATATAACAGATAAATAACAGATATTCCAGCAAATTCCAGCTCAAATAAGCAGTGTCTAACAAACATGAGGGTTAAAATGATCAGATTCACATCCCACGACTGTTAAAGAAACGCTTTAACGTTTTGTTTTACGCAAGGTGCTATTTATTTTGCTGACCACTTTTCAGTTTTTAGGATTACCTAAGCAACAAGATAATAGCACTTAGAATGTATTTATAATGAATTTAAAATGGTATGTTTCCGTAGAAACAGTGAAGAGGATATTATTCATACGGGTACAATAATATATTTTGTGTATTAATTTTGATAGGATTCAGTTTATAAGACTGAATTTAAGTACTCCATCTCTGAAAAAAAGGAAAGGATAAGAAAAATAAATATATAGATTGTAAAAAGTAATAGTAATAATGACTTACTTTGATGGAATTTGAAAATAGCCCATCAAAATTCCATGGATTTGAACTGTTTTGAAGTTTTCTAGGGTTCTAGTACTCTGGACAGGGAACAAATCACTCCAAATTTGGAACTACATGCACAAGCTGGTCTTAAACACTGCATAAGGGTTAAAAGGTTAGATGCACCGCTGAAACCTGAATACATCAAATATTACTCTCTAGTTTTTAACCAGTATCACTGTATGAAATATTTTAGCCCATTTTTATTTTGCAACTGACAATGAACATTAAAGATAAATTAATATTTTATGTAAACAATTATTTTAAGATTTAAATTTTAAGTAACTTCATCCTAATAGAAACAAGACACTAAAGACTGCAGCATTATTAATTTGCAAGCCAAAATTTACAAAGATCAAGTAATTTTTGTAAATTAAACATTATTCTACTTTATTTCTGGAATATTTTGTACAAACTAATAAATACAGTTGAAATTTGTTCATCTGCCTTATTGTATATTCATGCCCCTTTGCCCTATCTCTTTACATTATTTTGATAACTAGCAAATTATTTAAAACAGGAACTGGACTTTAATGGCAATTAAGGGCTAAGAAGGAGAATGCTATGCTATGATAATAATCCATCCTGTATAGCTGGGAGTTTCTAAGAATAAGAAATCATTTCAACAATAACACTGAAAAGAATATTTATTTCATCATAATTTCCATAATGTTATATTATATCCCTCTCAACTGATTTTCTTTAAGCACCTTAACACAATCTAAATTTATTTTTCAAAGATTAATTATTAAATATGGTGGAAACATATGGTACATTAATAATAATTGCCAGTAGTACATATATATTTAGTCTAGAAAAATAAATGGATATACAAATGGATACAAAGCCAATCCTGACATCTCTTGGAAGTTCGCTTTTAACATAAGTCTTTTACCTGCTATTTTGTTTTGTTTTTCTAGTTGGTTGAGCTTCCTGGTTATTTAGATTCTGGATACATAGGAGTAATTTATATTCAGCACTAAAAACCTATCATTATCTCCCATAGTCAGAGTTTCATACTTGCTGTAAAAGCAAAGCTCTCTTTGCAACTCAGTAGTCTCTACAAAGTGCAAGATTTGTAAACAAAAAACCATCCCTTCTTCAACAATACCTGCTTATGATGGAACCACACTTGATCCTGGAGTTCTTGAATCTGTTGCATTCATCACCTATCTGGGCTTGATAGGTAGGTTAGCTTTGGTATCTCAGATATTTGGTGGATAAACTCCCTAAAGTTTCCATATTTATTTAAATGAAAGCAAGATAAATGAATGCTCTCTTGAGCACTTGCTGTCTCTCCCCAGCACCACGCTAGGCATTACAAGGAATACAAAAGAAGTTCGTGCCATTTCAAGAAACCAAGGAAGAATAATCTTTTGATATTATATAACTCCCAAACATATGATTCTTCGAGTAAAGACAGAGTTCGAGCTAGAAGAGAGAGCAATTCATATCTGCAACTGGTCATTTCCTGGCCTCAGTTATGTCAACTAATTTTGCTTAAAGTGCTTAAAGTCCATATCAGACAGAAACAGTTAATTCCCCAAATCAATTTTCTCTTCCTTCAGTAGTAATAGACTTTTAGCTGGGTACACGGCTACCCATCTATTACAAGATTTCTTTGCATTTAGGTGTAGCCATGTATCAAAGTTCTGGCCAGATAGGTTGTGAGTGGATATGATGGGCACCACTCACAGACCTTACCCTTAAAGCAACTGGACATGTACTCCACTAGTCCCTCTTCTCCATCCCACTGACTGAGAGATGATAAGAGCTGGACTAACTGCTTTAGAGCCATAGGTGGGAGCCACATGATAAGAATGGCACAGCCACCTAACCAGCTCTGTAGCACTACCTATCTATAAACTATCATGCAAACAGAAATGAGCTTCGGGGTAAGCCTAAATGTTTTGGAGTCTCTTTGCCACAGCAGCTTAGCTTAACACACTTTCTAGTATAATCTTGGGTTTTTTCATTGGCCCCAGTCTTTTACATTTTCCTGTGCACTTCCTCTGAACATTTTACTGCTTTTTCTGCTATCTACTTCTGGGAAATTTTCATGTGTTTCTGCCACCATTAAGTCATATCCTTCCTAATTCTCATTGCTGTTTTCGTAAATTCTTGTCCTGTTTTTCCTTCTGATTTTCATCCACTTCTCCAAGTTCTTCAAGGAACACTCCTATAGGCAGGAAGCGTTAGCTCTTCAGAAATATTGGCACTAAAAATATGTTTTTTTAAAAAATCTCCAGGGCCACTCCTAGGGTGTGCAGTGCCCTGCAAAGATAGTTTTTGTAGGGTACTTGCCTATGTAAACAACACAATTTTAGAATTCATTCCAAAACTTACAGGTCTGTGTGAGGTATAGTGATTAATGGATAGAGAAGAGATGCTTACACATTTGTTTATTGCTCAAGTGGTGCACGTGAAGATTCTTCATAAGTTCTAGACATCATCTCAGGTTCAGGAACCACCTCTTTGTGTTCTTTATCATCGAATGTGCAGTTCTTGACTAATTTAATATCCTTCCCCTCAAGAAGTTCCACTGTCATGGCTCTTTGGAATTTATTTGTATTGACATGGCATAGATCTTTTTGCCTCTGCAGCTCCTTAACACCATGATGCAATGCTGTTAACATAATTACTCATGACACCGCAGCATCCGTCACACCATCCATGAATACCAGCTTACAAAGACTCCCTCAGAGGTCATTGCTGGGGTTCACTGATGATAACCAAGTACAAGTGTTACCCAGAGTATGTAGGAAAATGTGAATGATGATTTGTTTTCTAATCATGTTAAGATTATTTTTTGGAATTTTATAGCATAATCATAGACCAATATAAGTCCAATTATATATATATTTGAACTTTTTCTGCTACAATCATTGCATTCAAGAATGTGGTTTCTTCCAATGTTAACCACATCTTCACCCTTAACACAAGTGGGGAGGATGGAAGAGGGGCCAATAGGCAGAATGAAATGATGAGTCTCATTTGCACGAAGAATGTTCATCCTTTCTTCTGCATGGCTTAAGATCAACAGGACAGCATGTCATGTCGATCAGAGGTATGAGAGGACATAGATCCAAATGGCTTGTTGAGGCTTCAGAGCAGTAATCTCTAAAGCCCTCAGAAAAGATAGGCATGGTAACTTCCAGAGGACTGCCAAACAGACATGTGGCTTGGAGCCTGAAGACAGGGTGAGTGAGTCCCTTGGACACCAGTGGAGTGCAAAGGATAAAGCAAACCTGCTGCCATTCTTCACGAAAGATTGCCATAGACAAGAGGTGGTGCCATGGTCAGAACACATACAGGCGAAAGCCAACACATAGGTGTACACACATAACTTAAACTCAAGAATAGGCAGTGAATCATCCAAAGTCCAGAGCCTTGAACTTGTTCTGTATCTGACATGAGTGAGAGTCACCCAAAAATCACCATGTCAGTACCATTCTGGAGGCCCAGTCTCCATATCATACCACAAAAGAAATATTGTGCTGGCCAGCAAGAATGATCCACTCATCAGGTTACCCTCTGAACCTATAGCTTCTCAGGGTATCTGTCCAATCCCACAATGAGTAGAGGATCAGAGAGGGCCTTGAAGGGAAATAATGGGGATGGGACCCACACCATCCCAGTCTGGACTTAAAGCATTCTTGTCACCAGAGATATCTTAGAAAATTTCTTTTTTTTTTTTTGTTCATAGATTGGAAGACCTAATATTGTTTTTTGTTTGTTTGTTTTGTTTTTTTAATTTTTTTTTATTATACTCTAAGTTTTAGTGTACATGTGCACATTGTGCAGGTTAGTTACATATGTATACATGTGCCATGCTGGTGCGCTGCAGCCACTAACGTGTCATCTAGCATTAGGTATATCTCCCAATGCTATCCCTTCCCCCTCCCCCGACCCCACCACAGTCCCCAGAGTGTGATATTCCCCTTCCTGTGTCCAAGTGATCTCACTGTTCAATTCCCACCTATGAGTGAGAATATGCGGTGTTTGGTTTTTTGTTCTTGCGATAGTTTACTGAGAATGATGGTTTCCAATTTCATCCATGTCCCTACAAAGGACATGAACTCATCATTTTTTATGGCTGCATAGTATTCCATGGTGTATATGTGCCACATTTTCTTAATCCAGTCTATCATTGTTGGACATTTGGGTTGGTTCCAAGTCTTTGCTATTGTGAATAGTGCCGCAATAAACATACGTGTGCATGTGTCTTTATAGCAGCATGATTTATAGTCCTTTGGGTATATACCCAGTAATGGGATGGCTGGGTCAAATGGTATTTCTAGTTCTAGATCCCTGAGGAATCGCCACACTGACTTCCACAATGGTGGAACTAGTTTACAGTCCCACCAACAGTGTAAAAGTGTTCCTATTTCTCCACATCCTCTCCAGCACCTGTTGTTTCCTGACTTTTTAATGATTGCCATTCTAACTGGTGTGAAATGATATCTCATAGTGGTTTTGATTTGCATTTCTCTGATGGCCAGTGATGATGAGCATTTCTTCATGTGTTTTTTGGCTGCATAAATGTCTTCTTTTGAGAAGTGTCTGTTCATGTCCTTCGCCCACTTTTTGATGGGGTTGTTTGTTTTTTTCTTGTAAATTTGTTTGAGTTCATTGTAGATTCTGGATATTAGCCCTTTGTCAGATGAGTAGGTTGCGAAAATTTTCTCCCATGTTGTAGGTTGCCTGTTCACTCTGATGGTAGTTTCTTTTGCTGTGCAGAAGCTCTTTAGTTTAATTAGATCCCATTTGTCAATTTTGGCTTTTGTTGCCATTGCTTTTGGTGTTTTGGACATGAAGTCCTTGCCCACGCCTATGTCCTGAATGGTAATGCCTAGGTTTTCTTCTAGGGTTTTTATGGTTTTAGGTCTAACGTTTAAGTCTTTAATCCATCTTGAATTGATTTTTGTATAAGGTGTAAGGAAGGGATCCAGTTTCAGCTTTCTACATATGGCTAGCCAGTTTTCCCAGCACCATTTATTAAATAGGGAATCCTTTCCCCATTGCTTGTTTTTCTCAGGTTTGTCAAAGATCAGATAGTTGTAGATATGTGGCATTATTTCTGAGGGCTCTGTTCTGTTCCATTGATCTATATCTCTGTTTTGGTACCAGTACCATGCTGTTTTGGTTACTGTAGCCTTGTAGTATAGTTTGAAGTCAGGTAGTGTGATGCCTCCAGCTTTGTTCTTTTGGCTTAGGATTGACTTGGCGATGCGGGCTCTTTTTTGGTTCCATATGAACTTTAAAGTAGTTTTTTCCAATTCTGTGAAGAAAGTCATTGGTAGCTTGATGGGGATGGCATTGAATCTGTAAATTACCTTGGGCAGTATGGCCATTTTCACGATATTGATTCTTCCTACCCATGAGCATGGAATGTTCTTCCATTTGTTTGTGTCCTCTTTTATTTCCTTCAGCAGTGGTTTGTAGTTCTCCTTGAAGAGGTCCTTCACATCCCTTGTAAGTTGGATTCCTAGGTATTTTATTCTCTTTGAAGCAATTGTGAATGGGAGTTCACTCATGATTGTTTATCTAGAAAACCCCATCGTCTCAGCCCAAAATCTCCTTAAGCTGATAAGCAACTTCAGCAAAGTCTCAGGATACAAAATCAATGTACAAAAATCACAAGCATTCTTATACACCAACAACAGACAAACAGAGAGATATCTTAGAAAATTTCAAGGCAGACACTTCAAGGTAAAGGCTCCTGGGGCCTGGGATCTGGCCAGGGGACCCACTTGCCTAGTCTAAGGTGGTTCTGTGTGTTTACCCAGGAAATTGTGGGACAGTCTTCAATCATCAGAACAGGTCAAAGAGATTAGAACTTATAAGGAAGTGAGTGATAGCTTTTCAAAAGTATCTCCAATTCAGAAATATTTCCCCAAACAGCTCTTAAAGTCTATAGATAGTCTATTATGAGTCACATTTCAGTTCTGTGTCAATCAAAGTTCTTAGGAAACAGATGAGAAATAAGAACAAGAAACTGAAAAACAAAGAAAAACACCCCAGAGGTCCCACATGAAAAGGACAAGAGCAGTTAGGTAGAGAAAAAAAATGATGAGGTATGAGAGCTCTGAGGTATGGGAAAAGAATGAATATTAGTAGGAAGTCCACAAATGTAATGAAATAACAAGGATGCTTTGTCTAAAGTCTGCCTTGGGAAACACCATCCAACACATTTTCACCACCTACATTTATGTTGCTGGGTGCCAGGGATCCCAGGAACTGAGACAGTTTCTATCCTTGAGGAGTCCCAGTTTGGTGAGCAGGATGGGCCAATGGAATAGGTACCAGTGACACAGGTGATCAGGGTAATCATGGGTTTTGTAGAAAGTACGGCAGAGAACTGACCATAGCACCACTGATTCTTCCTGAGGGGTTTGAAGAGTCAACAGAGAGGACATGGGAATTTGGTTCCCTAGGATTCAGAACAGTGTCTAGCCCATAGGACACATTCTGCTATTTACTCAATGAATGAATAAGTTAACCTGGACTCCAGTAGTCCCCTTTATCACAGTTTTGCTTTCTTCAGTTTCAGAAACAAGCGATCAACCACAGTCTGAAAATACTAAAGGGAAAACTCTTGTTGAAAGAGAGAGAAAAAGAGAGGAAGAGACCACATTCACATAACCGTTATTACAGCATATTGTTATAATTGTTCTATTTTATTACTAGTTATTGCTATTGCATTACTGTGTATAATTTATAAATTAAACTTTATCACTTATGTTTATATAAGAAAAAACAAAGTGTGTATATATATATATGGTTTGATATTATCTGTGGTTATATATACATCAAATATATATATCAAATTATATATATCAAATTATATATATATCAAATTATATATATATATATATATATATATGGTTTGATATTTTCTGTGGTTTCAGGCATCCACTAGGGGTCTTGAAATGTATAGGGAGGGATTCTGCACATTTAAAATCTAGCTGGTGAATTCTAACTTCTCAATTTGCCATTTATTGATACTCGAAATTATTGAATTCTTAAATCTTTAAAGTGAGATAACATAAATAAACACAAATTCCTTTACTTCTAAGTAAGAGATCATTTGCATGATATAATTTGCAAGATATCACAAAATTCCCCTACTCAAAATTATTTCTCAAAATTAAGTACTGAAATTCCATCATTGCCAATAAATTTATTTATGCTTAAATAATGATTCTTTTTTGGCCAAAGCCACTGCAAGATTTACAAA